>NC_000023.11:146899848-147202878 GCF_000001405.40 Homo sapiens | reverse complement strand
TTGATCTGTCTAATATGGACAGTGGGGTGTTAAAAAGTCTCCCATTATTATTGTGTGGGAGTCTAAGTCTCTTTGTAGGTCTCTCAGTACTTGTTTTATGAATCTGGATGCTCCTGTATTGGGTGCATATATATTTAGGATAGTTAGCTCTTCTCGTTGAATTGATCCCTTTACCACTATGTAATGGCCTTCTTTGTCTCTTTTGATCTTTGTTGGTTTAAAGTCTGTTTTATCAGAGACTAGGATTGCAACCCCTGCTGTTTTTTTTGTTGTTGTTGTTGTTTTGTTTTTTTGCTTGGTAGATCTTCCTCCAGTCCTTTATTTAGAGCCTATATGTGTCTTTGCACATGAGATGGGTCTCCTGAATACAGCACACTGATGGGTCTTGACTCTTTATCCAATTTGCCAGTCTGTGTCTTTTAATTGGGGCATTTAGTCCATTTACATTTAAGCTTAATATTGTTATGTGTGAATTTGATCCTGTCATTATGATGTTAGCTGGTTATTTTGCCCGTTAATAGATGCAGCTTCTTCATAGCATCGATGGTCTTTACAATTAGGCATGCTTTTGCTGTGGCTGGTACCAGTTGTATCTTTCCATGTTTAGTGCTTCCTTCAGGAGCTCTTGTAAGGCAGGCCTGGTAGTGACAAAATCTCTCAGCATTTGCTGGTCTGTAAAGGATTTTATTTCTCCTTCACTTATGAAGCTTAGTTTGGCTGGATATGAAATTCTGGGTTGAAAATTCTTTTCTTTAAGAATACTGAATATTGACCCCCACTCCCTTCTGGCTAGTAGGGTTTCTGCTGAGAGATCCGCTGTTAGTCTCATGGGCTTCCCTTTGTGGGTAACTCGACCTTTCTCTCTGGCTGCCCTTAACACTTTTTCCTTCATTTCAACCTTGGTGAATCTGACAATTATGTGTCTTGTGGTTGCTCTTTTCAAGGCGTACCTTTGTGGCCTTCTCTGTATTTCCTGAATTTGAATGTTGGCCTGCCTTGCTACGTTGGGGAAGTTCTCCTGGCTAATATCCTGAAGAGTGTTTTCCAACTTGGTTCCATTCTCCCCATCACTTTCAGGTACACCGATCAAACGTAGATTTGGTCTATTCACATAGTCCCATATTTCTTGGATGCTTTGTTTGTTTCTTTTTACTCTTCTTTCTCTAACTTTGTCTTCTTGCTTTATTTCATTAATTTGATCTTCAATCACTGATACCCTTTCTTCCACTTGATCGCATTGGCTACTGAAGCTTGTGCATGCATCATGTAGTTCTCGTGCCATGGTTTTCAGCTCCATCAGGTCATTGAAGTCTTCTCTACACTGTTTATTCTAGTTAGCCATTCGTCTAATATTTTTTCAAGGTTTTTAGCTTCCTTGCGATGGGTTCAAACATCATCCTTTAGCTCGGAGAAGTTTGTTATTACCGACCTTCTGAAGCCTACTTCTGTCAACTCGTCAAAGTCATTCTCCATCCAGCTTTGTTCTGTTGCTGGCGAGGAGCTGCGATCCTTTGGAGCAGAAGAGGTGCTCTGGTTTCTCCCCATCTTTGTGGTTTTATCTACCTTTGGTCTTTGATGTTGGTGATCTACAGATGGGGTTTTGGTGCAGATGACCTTTTTGTTGATGTTGATGCTATTTCTTTCTGTTTGTTAGTTTTCCTTATAACAGTCAGGTCCCTCAGCTGCAGATCTGCTGGAGTTTGCTGGAGTTCCACTACAGACCATGTTTGCCTGGGTATCACCAGTGGAGGCTGCAGAATAGCAAATATTGCAGAACAGCAAATATTGCTGCCTGATCCTTCCTCTGGAAGCTTCGTCCCAGAGAGGCAGCCACCTGTATGAGGTGTCTGTTGGCCCCTACTGGGAGGTGTCTCCCAGTTAGGCTACATGGGGGGTCAGGGACCCACTTGAGGAGGCAATCTGTCCTTTCTCAGAGCTCAAACGCCATGCTGGGAGAACCACTGCTCTCTTCAGAGCTGTCAGACAGGGATGTTTAAGTCTGCAGAAGTTGTCTGCTGCCTTTCGTTCAGCTATGCCCAGTCCACAGAGGTGGAGTTTAGAGGCAGTAGGCCTTGTTGATCTGCTGTGGGCTCCACCCAGTTTGAGCTTCCTGGCTGCTTTGTTTACCTACTCAAGCCTCAGCAATGGCGGATGCGCCTCCCCAAGCCAGGCTGCCGCCTGCCTCACAGATCGATCTCAGATTGCTGTGCTAGCAGTGAGCAAGGCTCCGTGGGCATGGGACCCGCTGAGCCAGACACAGGAGAGAATCACCTTGTCTGCCGGTTGCTAAGACCTTGGGAAAATCATAGTATTTAGGCGGAAGTGTCCTTTTTTCCAGGTAGTCTGTCACGGCTTCCCTTCGCTAGTAAAGGGAAATCCCCCAAACCCTTGTGTTTCCCGGGTAAGGCGACACCCCACCCTGCTTCAGCTCACCCTCCATTGGCTGCAGCCACTGTCCAACCAGTCCCAATGAGATGAACCAGGTACCTCAGTTGGAAATGCAGAAATCACCCGTCTTCTGCATTGATCACACTGGGAGCTGCAGACTGGAGCTGTTCCTATTCAGCCAAAAAGTAGTATAATATTCTTTGAAGATAGACTGTGATGAATTAAATATGAACTTTGTAAACCCTAGAGCAACCACTATATTTTTTAAAGTGACCTAACTAATACGCCAAGAGTAGAGAAAATATAACTGAATGCTAAAAATACTAAATCCACCATCAGGCAGAAAAGAGGAAAATTTGGAATAAGAAAAGGATGAAACATAGAAAACAATCAGAAAGCCAGTAGATTTAAATGCATGTATGTAAATAATTGTATTAATATAAATGATATAAATGCTTCTATTAAGACAGAGATTGTCAATTTATATAAAAATAAGAAACAACTATATACTTTCTAAAACAAAGCCATTTTAAATATGAAGACCTACGTGAAAGTTGGGTAAAAGTAAAAGGATGGAAAATATATTAATGCAAAGAATCTTAGAACTAAAAATCTTACAGCTATTACTATTTAATAACACACACACACACACACACACACACACAGAGCGAGTGAGCAGGCACTCAAATAAATGAACTATAAAGAACCATGGAGCTAAGAGAAATAAAATAGCATTTCCTGTCTTCCAGCCCATTATCTGTCTTGTGTGTATCTTGTATTAATTTCTATGGGTTCTTCCTGCTCCATAGCCTGAAGAAGAAATGAAATTTCTACTCTCTCCAACCTGTTACCCTCTGACTCTTCTCCACTTCTTTGCATCCAGGTTGTTGTATTCTGTGGTTTTTCTGATGGACTTTAGGTGTGTGCAGCACAGCTGGAGTTTAGGACAACAGAAAGCTTTGGTGAGTGGTTGGTCCTTTCTACTTAACCAGTAATTTTATGTTTTTTTTTTTTTTTTTTTTTCTATTACATTTTGTTTTTGTTTTGAGACAGGGTCTCACTCTGTAACCCAGGCTTGAGTATAGTGGCCTGATCTCCTCTCACTGAAACCTGACTCCCAGGGTCAAGGTGTACTCCTGCCTCAGCTCCTGGGTGGCTGGGATTATAACAAAATAAAACAAAAATCTGCATGTTAAAATCTCACTCAGGGCAGGATGAAAGGGGAGCACTGGGGGCTAGGATTTGCATAATTCCTTGGCATAAATCTTGGTGGCCATGCTAATGTATACACCTATATAGGGACTTGAATAAAAATGGCATGAATAGGGAGCATTTGGTCTGGGATGCCACATTCAGCCATTCAGTGTACAGTGCCTTTCACAAGGAGGTGTCATTTATGTGAACTAAAATATAAATGTCACCTTTTTGAGAGGAGTAATGTACAGCATGCACTGCATATGTGGTGTCCCTAGGGATGGGGCTGTAGCTGCGAGCATGGTGATGCCTGTTTTGGATCCTGTGCACCCACTCCTCAGTGCTGGGCTACTTCAAGGAACTTTTTGTGCCTTCTAGACGACTAGACATAGGAACTGTGGACTCCTGAGAAAACGCATGCACTCAAGTTCTTTAAGAATTTAACTATTTTTGCCAAATGAGGCTTGGCTCAAATAAGAAATACATTGTATAGAGGCCACAGCCATTCTTCGTCAGCTGGAAGGTTGTACTCCAGATTCCTAAATTCTCTAAACTTTTCTCTCTTGTCAACTAGTCATCATTTGCAAGGCTTCTCCTTTAGAGCTCCCAAAAGACTCTCCTGCCTCTCAGGTCCCTTCATTGTTGATCCACAGTGTCCATTTGTCTCTCAAAGACTAAAATGTTTTTCATTGACTTTTAAATTACCTTTCAAAGCTATATGTCACCAGTTTACAATGGGTTAAGCATAGTCCATCCAAGAATATTTCATTCTTTTTCATTATCTTTTTCCCCATTTTTTAAGAATACACTTGAAGAATGAAAGGGTGTGACAGAACTGATACTCAGGAGATGTCTCCCAGGCTTCTCTCTCCATTTTCTTCTGGTGACACTTCTTAACTTTTAACCCAATGGAGAGAGAGAGAGAGGGAAATAAATACACACACACACACACACACACACAGAGAGAGAGAGAGAAAAGGAGGGAGAGGGAGAGAGAGAGACAAGCGCCAGACTGTGTGATGCCTTCTGCAGCATGAAACCAGTATGCATGTTTGGGAAGTAGGTTATAAATAAGCTACTTATATTGTGGAAATGTGTAAAAAATGTTTTAGAAATAGTAAGTGATTAATACAATTTTGATTCCAACTGAAATAGAGGCTACAGCATATACACTGAAAGGGAAAAACTGTTAAAAAATTACTATATGGTTACAGGGAGGATTTTAGTTTATGTTTTTTTTTTTAGATTCAGAATGGATGAATATGTGTAAGACCATTAGTAACTGAAAGTAAAAAAAAAAATCTGTTGATGTATCTTTTCCATAATGAAACAATTGCACTAATAGAATACAAAGAATCTTTGTATGTGTGTGTGGGTCGGGGGGAACATTCTGAACAGTAAAAAAATTCTGTCAGTTTGAAATACTGTATGTACGTAGAATTTTCCAAAGTGATAACTCCTCTTAGTATATAGTTTCTAAAACTGTATTATAGTGAAAGCATGTTACTTATATAACTTTAAGTGATATCCTAAAATGAAAGTAAGAAAATTTAGTTGTTATCGTATCTCTTTTATGATTTACTCAAAAAGAATAGTATATTCACTGGTATTTATGTTTTCTTTCAGAGAAATTCTGTTTTGTATTATTCATCCATGTTTCTACCAATTTATTAAGGTTTAACTGACATAAAAGTTGTATATATTTAAGGTATACACCATGATGTTTTGATATATGTGTACATTAGGAAATGATTAAATCAAGCTAATTGAAAAATAAAATAATATGAACATAAAATATTTAGGTGAAATTCTAAGAAAAAAATTACAAGATCTCTGTGGTAGGCAGAATAACAGCCCCCTCAAAACAATGTTTACAGAGTAACCCCTGAACTTGTAAACAACACATTTTATTGCAGAAGAAAATTTGTGCATGTGATTAAATTAAATATTTTGAGATTGGGATTATCCTAGATTATCTAGGTGAGCCCAACATTATCACAAGGGTCCTTATAAGTAGGAGAAAGGCGGTTAGAATAAGAGAAACATTGGAAAAGGCTATAGTATTGACTAGAGGTGGAGGTAAAGTCCATGAGCCAAAGAACGGAGAAAGCAAGTAGCATCTTCTTCTAAAGACAATCAAGTAGATTCTCCTCTAGAGCCAACAGAAGGAACAAAGCCCTGCCAATGCCTTCATTTTAGCCAAGAGAAACCTAATTTAGATTTCTGACCTTTAGACCCTAATATAATAAATTTGTGTTGTTGGAAACAACTAAATTTGTGGCAATTTGATTCAGTATCAATAGAAAACCAAACACATCTGTATGCTAAAAGTGTAAATACACTAGGAAATCAAATAATTCCTAATTAAGTGGAGAGGAGTATCATATTTATGGATCGAAGGATTCAAATCTATAGACTTATAGAGTTCTATTGATCTCTAGAGGTAATGCAATTCCAACCAATGTCGCAGAAAAATATTTGTAGACATTACCATGATGATTCTAAAACTGATATAAAAGGCAAATAAACTAGAATATCCAAAAGAGTCTGAAAGAGAATCACAAAGTTGGAGAATTTACACTTGTAATTTCCAGATTTACTGTCTAACTAGATTAGCCAATATAGTGTGGTACTGAAGAAAGGATGGACAAATAGAAGGACCAGAAATATACATATATGTCACCAATTCATTTAGACTAAGCTGTAAAGTCAGTCTAATGAAGAAATGATAGTATTTAAACAAGATACTGGAAAATGTGATATATATATATATATATATGAAAAATATGAACCTCGATCCATATTTCAAACCATATACGGAAAATAACACAATTTTAGGCCAAAATGTCCAAGTATAAAATTTTATGAATAAAAGGCAGAATATATATATATTTTTTTATTTATATAGATATTTATTTTTAATCTTCTTTACCTTTCAGTAACTTTTTTCCCCCGATAATATACCATAGGCATCCTATCAATTATTATATATGATATCAAAATATAAAAGTAAAATTAAAAATAAGTTGATAAAATAGACTTTGAAAAAATTAAAATTTGTCTTCAAATCAGACCACTGAGATAATAAAAAGGCAATCTACAGAATACTAAAAATATATGTAATTTAATAATGTGATAAATAACATATATCCAGCATAAATAACTACATATAATTTAACACTCCTGTGTATACCAAGAATTTTACTAGTTACTTTTTAAAAAGTATCTGTGTTTTTCAATAAAATGTCAGTTCTATGAGGCTGTTTTGATCTGTGTTGTAGTCCTAGCACATGAAAAAAACCTGGTTTAATGGCTACGTATTCATTCTGGACCTTCCTTGCTATACTATAATTTTGTCACATCATTAATGTGAATATATTAGTTTATCCTCATAATTTATAATGCGTTAACAACATTTATTAGAGTTAGGAGTCAGGAACATGGAAAGGCAAGAACTCTAACTGAATAGGCTGAGTATATATAGATTTAGGGAGCTCGAAAGAGGGAAAGTAACTGCCAAAAACAAATTCTACATTTTTCCAAGTTATTCTTATATCCGAATTCTGTCAAAGAAAACTACATTTTTATTGATATCTTTCCTTTTTGGACCACGAGCACAATTCCTGTTTATTGCAGAACAACTTGGAAAACACATAAAAGGTATGAAAAACTTGAATAGCAGTAATGAAATAATACCATAATACCAGTAACATCATATAATATGGATACAGTTGTTGATAAAATTTAGATGTAGATCTTTCCACACATCTATCTATATTTACACTTACTTAGGTTTCAGGTTGGGGTCCACAATTTTGTAATGCATCATGAATATTTTATAAAAACATTGAGTTACCAGGTAAATAATTTTGAAAAATCATTTTAGATGCCATGTTTCATTCTATCATACAATTTTTTTTCTGATTGATTTCTGAATTGCTTTTATAGCATTTTAAATATTTTAAATGTTTTCTAAGTCTTGTCTAGTTTCTCTCAGATTTACTACAATATTCCATTTTAAATAGTGGGCTTTTTTGCTATTTATTTCCACCAGAATTCCACCTCCATGATCCAATCACCTCCCACCAGGCCCCACCTCCAACACTGGAGATTAGAGTTCAACCTGAGATTGTGGTGGGGACACAGATCCAAACCTTATAATACTGCCCTTCCCTCTCCAAAATCTTATGTCCTTCTCACTTTGCAAACTACAATCCCAGCATTCCCCCAAAGTCTTAACTCACTGAAGCATTAACTCAAAAGTCCACAGTACAAAGTCTCATCTGAGACAAGGCTAATTCCTTCCGCCTATGGGCCTGTAAAATAAAAAACAAGTTAACTTCTTCTAAGATACAATGGAGGTATAAGCATTGGGTAAATACTTGGGAGAAAACAGCCAAAAGAAAGGGGCTACAGGTCCTGCGCAAATCTGAAACCCAGCAAGGAAGTCATTAAATCTTAAAGCTCCAAAATAATCTCCTTCAATTCATGTCCCACATCCAGGGCACACTGGCAGAAGGGGAGTGCTCCCAAAGCCTTGGGTAGCTCAAACCCTGTGACTTTGAAGGGTTCAACCCCCAATGGGCTGGCATTGAGTACCTACGCTTTTTCCAGGCCCTATTACAAGCTGTCAGTGGATCTACCATTCTGGGGTCTGGAGGATGGTGGCCCTCTTCTCACAGCTCCACTAGGCAGTACTTCATTGTGGACTCTGCATGGGGGCTCCAACCCCACATTTCCCCTCTGAACTGCCCTAGTAAAGGTTCTCCATGAGGACTCCACCCCTGCAGCAGGCTTCTGCCTGGACATCCATGCTTTTTTATACATCCTTTGAAATCTAGGCCAAGGCTCCCAAGACTCAACTCTTGCTCTGGGCACCCACAGGCTTAACACCAAGTGGAAACCACCAAGGCTCATGGTTTGCACACTCTGAACCAGTGGCTCAAGCTGTATTGGGCGCCCTTTGGGCAGAGGCTGACACTGGAGCACCCAGGCTATCGGAAGCAGTGTCCAGACATTGCACAGGGCAGTGGGACCCTGGGTGTGGCCCACGAAAGCATTCTCCCCTCCAAACCTCTCAGACCGTGATGGGAGGAGGGGTTACTGCAGAGGTGTCTGAAATGCCTTTCAGGCCTCCCCATTGTCTTGGCTATTAACATTCAGCTCCTTGTAACTTCAGGAGATTTCTGCAGCTGGCTTGAATTCCTCCCCAGAAAATGGGTTTTTATTTTCTACCATTTGGCCAGGCTGCAAATTTTCAAAAGCTTTACACTCTGCTTTCCTTTTAAATATAAGTAAGTAAGTGCCAGTTTTCTATCTTTTTTTGTTGACACACATGAGCATAGGTTATTAGAAGGAACCAGGCCCCATCTTGAATGCCATACTGCTTAGAAATTTCTTCTACCAGAAACCCTAAATCATGACTCTCAAAGTTCCACAGATCCCTAGGGCAGGGGCACAATTCCACTAGTTTCTTTGCTAATCCATAACAAAGGTGACCTTTACTCCACTTCCCCATAAGTTCCTCATTTCCATCTGAGACCTCCTCAGCCTGGCCTTTAGTGTCCATATCACTATCAGCAATTTAATGACTGCCATTTAACAATTCTTTAGGAAATTTCAACTTTTCCTTCATCTTCCTGTCTCCCTCCGAGCCCTCCAAACTGTTTCAACTTCTGCCTGTTACCCAATGCAAAAGCTGTTTCCACATTTTTAGGTATCTTTATTTGGCTCATGCTTCTTTAGGCTGTACAGGAAGCATGGCTGGGAGGCCTCAGGAAACTTTCAACCATGGCAGATTCAAAGGAGGAGCTAGCACCTCACATGGCTAGAACAGGAGGAAGAGAGAGGCTGGGGAGGTGCTACACACGTTTTAACAACCAGACCTCGTGAGAACTCACGATCATGAGAACAGCACCAAAGGGATGGTGCTAGACCATTCATGAGAATTTCACCCCCATGATCCAAACAACTCCCACCAGGCCCCACCTCCAACATTAGGGATTATAATTCAACATGAGGTTTAGGCAGGAGCACAGATCCAAACCACATCACTATTGGAAAAAGTAGACATCATGGATGAGCAAATGAGGAATTTTAGCACAGAGATAGGAAGTGTAAATTTCTTAGAAATTTACAGTTAGAAAAAAGCAAACAATTTTGAGAGATAAATACTGATTTTGATGGACTCACATTATCTCTATAATAAACACAAATGACAATTTTTTTCAGACAAAGAAAATTTAGATTATTCACCCCAGTAGAAATGCATTACATGACATGTTAACACATTTCCTCAGGCAGAAAGAAATACCGGGCAGAAACATGAATCTAATCTACACGAACAAACTAAAAACCCAGAAAATGATGAAGATGACGATATGGATGTGAAACAGAAATATCTCGGGCCCCAAAATCACTAAGTTAAAGGGAAAATTCAAGCTGGGAACGGCTTAGGACAAACCTGCTTCCCATTTTACTCATAGTCACCCCTCTGCTCACTGAGATAAATGTGTATCTGAGTACCTCCTTTGGAAAGGTTAGTAAGTCAGAAGAATGCAACCGTTTGTCTCTCACCTACTTGTGACCTGGAAGCCTCCTCCCTACTTTGAGTTGTCCCACTTTTACTTCGAGTTTTCCCACCTTTTTGGACCAGACCAAACCAACGTTCATTTTACATATTTTTATCGCTGTCTCATTACTCCCTAAAATATATAAAACCAAACTGCGCTCTGATCACCTCGGGCACATGCCATCAGGACCTCCTGAGGCTGGATCACAGGTGTGCATCTTCAACCTTGGAAAAATTAACTTTCTAAATTAACTGAGACCTGTCCTCAAATTTTTGGGGTTCATACAGGGGTTATTTTATTATTTTCAATCAGTCAGTAACAGATAACAGTGTGAATAAATATGTATGTGGGAATTAGAACATTAATGAAAGTAATTAACATATATATTACAAAGGATGGGGTGAATTGTAAGTATACCATCATAAGATTTTTAAACTATACAAAAAGTAGGATCATATTCTTTGAAGATAGACTGTGATGAATTAAATATGGACACTGGAAACTCCAGAGCAACCACTATCTTTTTTTAAGTGACCAACTAATAAGAGTGCAGAAAATATAACTGAATGATAAAAATACTGAGTCTGCCATCAGGCAGAAAAACAGGAAAATAGGAATTAGAAAAGGATGAAACATAGAAAACAACTAGAAAACCGGTAGATTTAAATGCACATATATAAATAATTGTATTAATATAAATGATATAAATGCTTCTATTAAGACAGAGATTGTCAAATTACATAAAAATAAGAAACCACTAATATACTATGTCAAACAAACCCATTTTAAATATGAAGACCTATGTGAAAGTTGGGTAAAAGTAAAAAGATGGAAAATATATTAATGCAAACACTAAATATTAAAGCTAAAAAATCTTATTAATTATTAATAACACCACCCCGCCCACACACACACACACACAGAGAGAGCACCCCAATAAATGAACGATAAAGAACCATGGAGCTAAGAGAAATAGAATAGCATTTCCTGTCTTCCAGCCCATTATCTGTCTCGTCTCTCTCTCGTATTAATTTCTATGGATTCTTCCCCCTGCATAGCCTGAAGAAGAAATTAAATTTCTGCTCTCTCTAACCTAGTTTTCTCTGACTCTTCTGCACTTCTCTGCATCCAGGTGGTTGTATTCTGTGGTTTTTCTGTTGGAATTTAGGTCTGTGCAGCACAGCTGGAGTTTTAGGACAACAGAAAGCTTTAGTGAGTGGTTGGTCCTTTGTACTTAACTGTAATTTTAAGGGTTTTTTGTTTTTGTTTTTTTGAGACAGGGTCTCGCTCTGTAACCCAGGCTAGAGTACATTGGCACCATCTCTGCTCACTGCAACCTCTGCCTTCCTGGTTCAAGTGATTCTCCTGCCTCAGCTTAGAGTAGCTGTGATTACAGGTGCAAGCCACTACACCTGGCTACTTTTGTATTTCTAGTAGAGATGGTGTTTTACCATGTTTGTTTGACCATGTTGGTCAGGATTGTCTCAAACTTCTGGCTTCAAGTGATCTCCCCACCTGGGCCACCCTAAGAGCTGGGAATTCAGGCATGAGCCACCATGCCCGGCTGAGTCTGAAGATTTTTTTGAGACAGATTTTCACTCTTGTTGCCCAGGCTGGAGTGCAAAGGTGCAACCTTGGCTCACTACAACCTTTGCCTCTTGGGTTCAAGTGATTCTTCTGCCTCAGCCTCCAGAGTAGCTGGGATTACCGGCGCCCACCACTACGCCGGGCTAATCTTTTGTATTTGTAGTAGAGATGGGAGTTTTCCCACGTTGTCCAGGATGGTCTCGAACTCCTAACCTCAGATGATCTGCCCACCTTGGCCTCCCAAATTGCTGGGATTACAGGAGTGAGCCACCGAGCCTAGCCTGACTTTGAGGATTTTTTTTTTTTTATTACACTTTAAGTTTTAGGGTACATGTGCACATTGTGCAGGTTAGTTACATATGTATACATGTGCCATGCTGGTGCGCTGCACCCACTAACTCGTCATCTAGCATTAGGTATATCTCCCAATGCTATCCCTCCCCCCTCCCCCCACCCCACCACGGTCCCCAGAGTGTGATATTCCCCTTCCTGTGTCCATGTGATCTCATTGTTCAATTCCCACCTATGAGTGAGAATATGCAGTGTTTGGTTTTTTGTTCTTGCGATAGTTTACTGAGAATGATTTCCAATTTCATCCATGTCCCTACAAAGGACATGAACTCATCATTTTTTATGGCTGCATAGTATTCCATGGTGTATATGTGCCACATTTTCTTAATCCAGTCTATCATTGTTGGACATTTGGGTTGGTTTCAACCATTGTGGAAGTCAGTGTGGCGATTCCTCAGGGATCTAGAACTAGAAATACCATTTGACCCAGCCATCCCATTACTGGGTATATAACCCAAATGACTATAAATCATGCTGCTATAAAGACACATGCACACGTATGTTTATTGCGGCATTATTCACAATAGCAAAGACTTTGAGGATTTTTAATGAGACAAGCAAAATTACAGGAAAACCAATGGGATAATTCAGACAAGGATAACTCACCTCTGAAAAAGAGGAGAAGTGAAAAGCTCTATCATTGCTCAGCCTAAAAATCGGCGTGTTAATTAGCTGTTCATGGTGGTGCACAGCTTTAATCCCAGCTACTCAGGAGGCTGAGGCAGAATCACCTGAACCCGGGAGGCGGAGGTTGCAGTGAGCCAAGATCACGCCAATGCATGCCAGTCTGGGCCAGATTCCGTCTCAAAACAAAACAAAAATCTGCATGTTAATATCTCACTCAGGGCAGGGTGAAAAGGGGAGTGCTAGGGGCTAGAAGTTGCATTGTTACTTGGCATAAATCTTGGTGGCCATGCGAAGGCATACACCTATAGGGACTTGAATAAAAACGGCATGAATAGGGAACATTTGGTCTGGGATGCCACATTCAGCCATTCAGCGTACAGTGCCTTTCTCAAGGAGGTGTCGTTTATGTGAACTAAAATATAAATTTCACCTTTCTGAGAAGAGTAATGTACAGCATGCACTGCATATGTGGTGTCCCTAGGGATGGGGCTGTAGCTGCGAGCATGGTGATGCCTGTTTTGCATCCTGTGCACCCACTCCTCAGTGCTGGGCTACTTCAAGGAACTTTTTGTGCCTTCTAGACGACTACACATAAGAACTGTGGACTCCTGAGAAAACGCATGCACTTTGGTTCCTTAAGAATTTATCTACTTTTGCCAAATGAGGCTTGGCTCAAATAAGAAATACGTTGTATAGAGGCCACAGCCATTCTTCGTCAGCTGAGACATTTTACTCCAGATTCCTCAATTCTCTAAACTCTTTTCACTGATCAACTAGTCATCATTTGCAAGGATTGTCCTTTAGTGCTCCCAAAAGGCTCTCCTGCCTCTCAGGTCCCTTCATTGCTGATCCACAGTGTCCATTTTCTGTCAAAGACTAAAACATTTTCTCATTGACTGTTAAAATACCTTTCAAAGCCTTCAGTCACCAATTTATGAAGGGTTAAGCATAGTCCACCCAAGAATATTTCACCCTTTTTAATTATCTTTTTTCCCCATTTTTTAAGAGTATATTTGAAGAATGGAAGGGTATGACAGAATTGATACTCAAGAGATATCTCCTAGGCTTCTCTCCCCATTTTCTTTTGGTGACGCTTAACTCTTAACCTAATGGAGAGAAATAGAGGGAAATAAACACACACACACACACACACACACACACACACACACACACACAGAGAGAGAGAGAGAGAGAGAGAGAGGAGAGAGAGAGAGAGAGAACATGCAAGAGAAAGACAAGCACCAGACTATGTAAGGCCATCTGCAGCATTAATCTAGTATACATGTTTGGGAAGTAGGTTATAAATAAGCTATTTATATTGTGGAAATGTGTAAAAAATGTTATAAATAGTAAGTGATTAATACAATTTTGATTCCAACTGAAACAGAGGCTACAGCATAAACACCGAAAGGGAAAAACTATAAAAAACAATTACTATATGGTTACAGGCAGGATTTTGGTTTATGTTTTTTTAGATTCAGAATGTATGAATATGTATAAGACCATTAATGTCTGAAAGTAAAAAAAACAGTTGAAGTATCTTTTCCATAATGAAAAACATTGTAATAATAGAATACATACAATCTTTTTGGGGTGGGGGCAACATTCTGAACAGTAAAAAAATTTTGTCACTTTGCAATACTGTATGTACATAGAATTTTCCAAAGTGATAACTGTTTTTAGTATATAATTTCTAAAACTGTATTATAGTGATGCATGTTTACTTATATAACTTTAAGTGATATCTTAAAATGAAATAAAAGAGAATTTAGTTGTTATCATACCTCTGTTATGATTTCTCAAAAGAATAGTATATTTACTGGTATTTGTGTTTTTTTTCAGTGAAATACTGTTTTGTATTACTCAGCCTTTTTTCTTCCAATTTATTAAGGTTTAACTGACATAAAAATCATATTTAAGGTGTACAACATGACGTTTTGATATATGTGTACATTATGCAATGATTAAATCAAGCTAATTGAAAAATAAAATATGAACATAAAATATTTATTTGAAACTCTAAGAAAAAATTACAAGATCTCTGTGGTAGGCAGAGTAACAGCCCCCGCCCAAACAATGTTCACAATGTAACCCCTGAACTCGTAAGCATCATATTTTATTGTAGAAGAAAATTTGTAGATGTTATTAAATATTTTGAGATTGGGATTATCCTAGATTATCTAGGTGAGCCCAACATTATCACAAGGGCCCTTATACGTTGGAGAAAGGTGGTTAGAATGAGAAACATTGCAAAATACTATAGTATTGACTAGAGGTAGAGGTAAAGGCCATGAGCCAAAGAATGGAGAAAGTAACTAGAATCTTCTAAAGACAATCAAGTAGATTCTCCTCTAGAGCCAACAGAAGGAACAAAGCCCTGCCAATGCCTTCATTTTAGCCAAGAGAAACCTAATTTAGATTTTTGACCTTTAGACTCTAATATAATAAATTTGTGTTGTTGTAAACAACTAAATCTGTGGCAATTTATTACAGTATCAATAGAAACCCCAAAACATCTGTATGCTAAAACTGTAAATATACTAAAAAAAAATACTAATTAAGTGGCGAGGACTATCATATTTATGGATTGAAGGATTCAAATCTATAGACTTTTAGACTTCCATTAATCTCTAGAAGTAATACAATTCCAACCAATGTCCCAGAAAAATATTTGTAGACATTAGCAAGATGATTCTAAAACTGATATAAAAGGCGAATAAACTAGAATATCCAAAACAATCTGAAAGAGAATCACAAAGCTGGAAAATTTACACTTGTAATTTCCAGATTTACTGTCTAATTAGATTACCCAATGTACTGTGGTACTGAAGAAAGGATGGACAAATAGAAGGACCAGAAATATCCATATATGTCACCAATTCATTTTGACTAAGCTGTAAAGTCAATCTAATGAAGAAATGATAGTATTTAAACAGTAAGATGCTGGGAAATGTGAGATATATAAAAAATATGAACCTTGATCGTATTTCAAACCACATACAGAAATTAACACAATCTTAAGCCAAAACGTCAAACTATCAAATTGCATGAAAAAAATGAGAGAAAATATTTTTGACCATTAAATTATTACATATGATATCAAAATATAAAAATAAAATTTATTAAAAATAAATTGATAAAATAGACTTTGAAAAAATTAAGACGTCTTCAAATAAGACCACTGAGATAATAAAAAGGCAAATTACAGAATAAAAATATTTATCACATTATTGAATTACATATAACATATATCCAGCATAAATAACTACATATAATTTAGCACTCCTGTGTATACTAAGTATTTTACTAGTTACTTTGTAAAAATTATCTGTGTTTTAAAATGTCAGTTCTGTTAGCATGTGTTGAAGCTGTTTTGATCTGTGTTGTAGTCCTAGCACATGAAAAACCCTGGTTTAATGTTTACGTATTCATTCTGGACCTTCCTTGCTATACTATAATTTCGTCACCTCGTTAATGTGAATATATTAGTTTATCCTCATAATATATAATAAATTAAAATGTGTTCAGCTTAGGAGTCAGGAACATGGAAAGGCAAGAACTCTAACTGAACAGGCTGAGTATGTATAGATTCAGGAAGCTCAAAAGAGGAAAAATAACTGCCAAAAACAACTTTTACACCTGTCCGAGTTATTCTTATATCAGAATTCTGCCAAAGAAAACTACATTTTTATTGATGTATTTCTTTTTCAGACCATGAGGATAATTCCTATTTATTACAGAACAATGTGGAAAGCACATACAAGGTGTGAAAAACATGAATAGCAGTAATGAAATAATTCCAGTAACATCATAATGTGGATACAGTGTTTGATAAAATTTAGATGTGGATCTTTCCACACATTTATCTGTATTTATACTTAGGTTTTAGGATGGGGTCAACAATTTTGTGCCATTTTCTTATAAATGATTTCAAATAATGCATCATGAATGTTTTATAAAAACATTAGCCTAATAATTGTGAAACATGGTTTTATGTGCTGTTTCATTCTATCATACAATATTTTTCTGATTGATTTCTGACTTTTTTAGCATTTTAAATATTTTAAATGTTTTCTAAGTGTTTTCTACTTTCAGATTTACTAAAATATTCCATTTTAAATAGTATTTTCTTTTTCTTAGATTTTGTTCCATAATTTTTTTCATTAAGAACATACATGTATTATCACATTTAATCCACTCAAAACCCTCAGAAGGCAGTAGTTATTTTTATCATGAACTTACAGATAAAGAATGCAGCTTAGAGAAGTTAAATAAGTTGTTTAATGCTGTGAACCAAGTCCGTAGTCTGATCCTAGGGTTATACTGTAACACGAAAGGATACTTACACGCAAGACTAAAGAGGATCAAACCTGATACTCAACCTATGGCTGCATTCCATCCTGAACCACAGTGCCAGAAAACAGTGATTACAGTTTTCTATGATTCAGTGAGTTCACTGGGAGTTTCTTCTGCTTAGGCTCACCTGGGCTCAAACATGCAACTACAGACATCTACTCTGGGGTGGTCTAGAATGCCCCCTCACAAGGATGCAGTTCCAACTGGAATGGCAGGAACAGCTAGCATGGCTGGGCCTCTCCCTCCAGCTGGTCTTTCATTCTGGAATTGTTCTCAGCGTGGGGAGCTCAAGACTCCAAAAGGGCAAAGACAGAAACTGTGAAACATCTTAGGACTCAGCCTAGGAAAGTGAGCAATGTCACATCAGAAAGATTTCACTGATCAAAATAACCAAGCCAGCATCACCGCATAAGGAAATGAATTCAAACCCTGAAAGGAGAGAGACAAAAAGTCTCATTGCAAAATGGTGTTTTCACAGGAACACCTGACTCATTGGGAGTCATTGTTACCAAAGCACACACAAAATCTACACAGTATTTTCATTCTAGTTTACGGGATATGTCTTTGTTGTTATTTGTAAAGTGAAACTTCACAGGGTTACATTGATAAAAGGTGGGGGCTCTCTGACAAATACCAAGAATTATTAAGAATTTTTGTACTTGTGTTAGCCTGGATGGAGCACCTTTAACATCGCTGGCACAAGTGATATGTTTCACTTCTTTAGGCACATTTTTTGCTTAGAGTTGGAAGGAGCCCAGGTGGTTTGCTGACCCAATAGTGCTAGATTGCTGAGATACTTCCGAGCTGACTGCTTGGGAACATGGAATTGTTCATTTATGTGTACCCATTCTGGGTCAAGAGACTGCTGATTGCTTGGGAACACTGAGAGATTCCTTTATGTGTGCCCACTCTGGGTCAAGACAGACCACTTGTCCTGTGAACCATCTGGTCCAATCTCTCCCTGTTCTCTGTGACCTTCATGGGTAGAGAGGAACAAAGCAACTAAGGCTCCTGTCATTAACCACAGTTGTCAGGTTTCCTTTTATTGACAAATTTGGAGTTGGAATGGTTTTGAGGAGAGGAGCCTGAGCTGCCTGACTCAAACCTTGCAGCAAATTCCTGGCTGCTCTGAGACATCTTCTCCCTGCAGCCTGCATCAGAGGGTACATTTCAGAACAGAGGCTTAAACAATGGGAAGGAAAAGAACAAAAAGACAATCAGGAATGAGTAGTAAGAATAATCGGCTGCCATGCTAGTCATGGGACTCAGGAGAACACAGGAGGTGAAGGGTATCACAAATGCCTTCATCCCCCACCCCAGCCTACACCACTGCCAGCCTTGCCCCTGCTCTGTCCCCCTCAGAAGGACACCAAGAGACAGAGGGTGGCAAAAATCCAATGCGTTATTCTTTTCCGACCCCCTCCCCACTCTCACCAGATGCCTCCGAAAATCAGCTGGACGGTGGGAGGGATCAAGAATGACTGCCGTCACCATGGAAACTCCTTGATGGCGAGATTGCTTTGAGAACCAGGAGGGGATGAGATAAGCACCAGAGGAACACTGGGCAGTCAGGGCCCAGCATCCACCAACCCTTTCTTCCAGATAACTCCTTTGTTCTCTGGGCTGGTCTCCCTCTTGCTCCTATAGGGGCCCTTTCTGACTCTTCACCTGTTTTGATTCTTCAGTGGTGCCCTTCCCGGGTCTGGGAGGGAAGGGCCCGAGGCCCACTCAGGGCTGCCCCAGGATGGCCACTTCTCACTGCAGCCCAGACACCCTGGTCTATAAGACACACTATCCTTGCCACTGAGAAGGAAGGGACGTCAACACTTTTGAGCCAAGCCCTGTGTCCCCTGCATCCTGCAAGGAAGAAGAAAAATAAAGACCTGACTATTTTTCACAGGTGCAACGGGTGACTAAAGACAGAAAGAGAGTGGTGTGGTTTTCACTTCATCTTGTTGAGAAGCCAGGGCCTGAAGTCCAGAGATCCCCATTCACATGCACCCTCTTGGGTGGGAAGGGGAGGAACTCTTACCTCCCTCTCTGCCATGTTCTCCTCTCGTTGCCCATTTGTGTACTATCCTCCCTGTCCCCTACCTGACTGCATGTGCCTTCAATGCAAAGGTCTTACTGCTCATCAGCTTTACATCTGCATCACAGTCACAATTCCTGCACCTTACAGGCCTGGATCAAATTCTTGTGAATGAGCAAAAGCATCTCTAAAGGTCACCAGTGCCCTGCTTGTCTCAATCCTAGCCGGACACTAGGCTATAATGCTCATTATAAATGTGAAAATAAGGAAGGAGACCACCTCTCCCATTGTCTCCTGTTTCAAAAAGGAAGCAGAAAGTTAAAAAGAAGCAGAAGTGAGGTCAACAGCCAGACAGCTTGGCACCAAAAACCAGGCCTGGTAGTTAAACATCAACTCCTAACCTAACTGCTTGTGTTATCTGTAGATGCCAGACATCGTATGAGGAAGCGCTGTGAAACTTTCTGTTCTGTTCTGCTAGCCCCCATTACTGATGCACGTAGCCCTCAATCCCATAGCCCCCGCTTGCACAATGTATCACGACCCTTTCACGTGGACCCCTTAGAGTTGTAAGCCCTTAAAAGGGACAGGAATCTTCACTTTGGGGAGCTCAGACCTTGAGATGCGAGTCTACTGATGCTCCCAGCTGATTAAAGCCTCTTCCTTCCTTAAACTGGTGTCCGAGAGGTTTTGTCTGTGACCAGTCCTGCTACAAAAGAAGCTGTGTGCATTTTTTTTGCAGTGCATAAACAGACTGGCCTATGATCTGTGCCTTTCCTTAAGTAATATCTATCATTACACCAAAAATGAAAATAAAGCCTGTGGGGATTATCACGCCTTCCAAATACCTGGGCTGCCTCTGGAGGAAACTATTGCTAAATGCCCAAAGTGAAGAAAATAAAAAATGTCTGGAGGGTAGCTCCCCCCAAAATACTAAGAACTCCTAAATAACATAAATTATGGATAAATGAAACATCTATAATCACAGGAAATAGCATAAAATGCTATTGCAAACCCATGATTTTGGTGTATGGATAGTGTGTTCATGTCACTTATTAAAACCATGAAACCTCCGGGCCTGGGGAAAGGGAAGCCGTGCATCCCACTTGACCAGCTCATACCTCCTTCCTTCTGCACTCAGAATCAACTGCCCTTTACCTGCTTTCATGCCTTGATCACTACTGTTTGGTTCTGAGATGGTGCTTTTTTCTGGGTGGAAATTCTGCCTGAAGGGAGCAGGGAATTTGGTGTTCTAAATCCAGAACCAGCAAAACTCAATGAGAGGGGCCTCATCCCAATGAACCCAGCACAAACAAACGTGCAACAGTCAGGCCTATTTTAAAAAGACTTCTCATCTCTGAACAAATGATACCACATTTTATGAAACTCAATTACCTGCACAGTCCTTTGGAGACCCTGAGGCTCCTGAGCCTTCTCCAACTATCCTAGGCCATCAGATTACCCTACTCACACTCTTTAGGAAATCTGAAGTTTTAGATTGCTTCCATCACCTGACTGAGGTCCCAAGAAGGTGGCTATATGACAAAAAGGATCCAGCCTCTGCAACTGCCTATTCTCCTGGCAGGCCTCACCTGGTGAGGCCACAAAGCATACGAGTTAAAAGAACACAGTTCCTAGGGACGGTGGCTTTGGTCGGAGTTCTCATGCCGACACATAATAGCTACATGGCCTGAACTGGTTTTCTAAAACGGGAAAGGCTCAGAGCTCAAGCAAGATATGAGCAGACCCCATGAAAGGTCAACAAATGCTGGATATGGCTAGACATGTAAGGACACAACTCAGAGCCATTTCCTTTTCTCAGGTTGTAAAACACATTTTGAGGCTGGAGTTGGGGAGGTGTGTAGCTATTTTGAGATTGGCAATAAAACTCCATAAACACCATTTACCCATGAAATTCCCTGACATGTTATAAGGAAACTCACCTGAGTAGGAGGAATCAGGATAACCCCCCATTCAAAACTCAGGGATGTAAAAATATATCACCTGCTGCCCAGACACAGAGGACTGCTATTGCTATTTAGCACAATGTCTGCACATCCTGTACTTGTATCTTTCTCTCTCTCTCTCTCTTCCCTGTGTAAGGAAAGGCACACAAAAACAGTTGAAAAAGGAAAGTCAAAATGGCATTTCTCCATTCTCACTAAGCCTGACCTGTCTCTCCTCCTTTCATTCCTTCACACAATTATGTAGAGAAAAATTTTAAAACATTTTTAAAAAATGAGCAAAGTGGCAGCTACTCACCAATTTGTGTCCTAGGCAATCCGTTGAACCTTGATTGTGTGGTGACGAGTGTGCTGCTGCTATCAGCCTATAAGCTGACATCAAAATGTCTACAAAAACCTGGCCAGGCCCCCTCTCCTGCCCTCCCTCTTCCACCTTACCCAGAATGAGTGTCCCCTCACCTGAGCTGAGTTGTCTAAGTCCATATTCAATTGATAAGGAGAAATGACACTCCAAGCAGCGTCCTGTTTTCCAGGCAACTTTTTCCAAAAGCTCCTTTTCCAGAATTACTTACCTGAACTTCTAACCACAGAGTGAGTAATGCAAACACACAGAGCCAGAACAGAGGAAAGGCAGGGGACTCTGAGCTTGCTGGGGTAGAGAGGTCAGAAACCCAGTTTCTTACTCAGCCTTTGTTAGGAAGAGTCCTGATCTTGTTCTCCTCTGCAAATAACTTTCCTCCCAGCCCCAGGGATGATCAGCCTGGGAGTGGTCACAGCCTTTTGTGCAATAACTTGGACTTCACCCTCCCCTTTGCCCTTTCTCCTCCGCTGCTCGGTGAGCACGCCCTTCACGTGTTGAGGTGAAGGCATTGGTGTTCAGGCCTAAGAGATGATACAAACCCTCAGATTCACTCACCACAGCCTCTGTGCCACTCACCTCTCTGCTTCTTTCCCAGAGACACCCACCTCTTCTCCAGATCCAGATAATCTTCTGTGAAGCTGTGCAGATACCTGAAGACAGAAGACAAGTGTTACAGAATGTTACATCTTCCTTTAGACACCCACAGAGAAAACAGCCAAACTGAGTCACCTTCAGTGGTTTAGGGGAAAGATGCATCTACACTGGATAGTTTTCTCGGGGAATTCACACCAACCTCTCTCTTTTGTTGTTGTTGTTGTTTGTTTGTTTGTTTTTTGAAACAGGATCTTGCTCTGTCGCCCAGGCTGGAGTGCAGTGGCACGATCTCGGCTCACTGCAACCTCCACCTCCTGGATTCAAGCGATTCTCCTGCCTCAGCCTCCAGAGTAGCTGGGATTATAGGCGCATGCCACCATGCCCAGCTAATTTTTGCATTTTTTTTAGTAGAGATGAGGTTTCTCCATGTTGGCCAGGCTGGTCTCAAACTCCTAACCTCAGGTGATCCACCCACCTCAGCCTCCCAAAGTGCTGGGATTACAGGCGTGAGCCACCGCGCCCGGCCCCAACCTCTTAACTCCCAGAAGAGATTGAAGCATATTCCCTCAGGTGGCACAGCTACCATTGAGGGTGTCCTGAAGTGAAGGGAACCCCTTTCTTCTTGATGCAGATTTTCTTTCAGAGGTCTATTCATTAAGAGGAACTTTTCATTACAATGTACCTGCCTCCTTTTCTGTGTTAAAGAAAAATATAACCAGGTAATATGTAAGAAAATGGGAGATGATGTACTAAGGAGATGATTACCAAGTCCTAAAGAGGGATTGATACAGAAGCCACTTTAATGCAGCTGACATTCCGCCCAGAGAGCTCTTCTGAAATGGGTGGCACAATCTCAGCAGCATTTCCCACCACCATGTCAACCCCTTGAGAGGGGCATGAAGGGACTCCCACTTCCCTCCAGAGCAGGCTATTCCCTCCTTTCCTCTTCCTCTCCCTCTCATTTCTCAGGTTGTCTGCTGTCTGCCCACTTGTTCTCCATTTGTGCTGCCCAATCCTCAACTTCAGGCTTCTCCACATTCCTTGGTGCTTGCATCACACAAGCTAGAGATCAGGTGGAACTGTGGAAGTAGGGAATGGGAAGGTGAAAGATTTCAAAGGCAAGGCTGGATGGTGTCGCTCATTCAACCAATACTGAATGCCCTGTTCTCTCTAGAAAAGGGACCGTGCTAGGTGCTGCATGTTCATTCTCATAGGGCATTATGGGAAAGTATTACTTGTTAATATGAAGTGAGCCACTGGCTGGGGATGGGTGGATCCTGATAGGCCTTAATTTCCTTATTTTTTATTGAATTAAACATATTTATAGCAGTGTGCATAAATGTTAATTGTACTCAGAGTATTTCCAACACCAAAGAAGGTAACTTCATGCCTCTCCAAGCTAATATATTCCAAAATTAACCATTATTCTGAACTCTATCAGGATAGACTAGTTTACCTGCTTTTGACATTCATGTAAATGGAGCCACACACTAGATACTTTTTTGAGTCTGGTATCTTTCTCGCTACATTGTCTGTGATATGTTACACGTTGTTATAAGTTGTTGTATGTAACAGTAATCTGCTCTTGTTCATTGCTCTGCAGTATTTCATTATACGAATATAGCAGAAATTATTCATTCAAAACTTGGTGTACCTTTAGTTCATTCCAGTTTTTAGCCATTATGAGTAAATGTGAAATTGACATTCTTGTGCATGTGTTTTGTTGAATGCAAACACTCATTTCTCGCTTTGGGAGGCCAAGGTGGGAGAATCACTTGAGGCTAAGAGTTTGAGACCAGCCTGGGAAACATAGAGAGACTCTATCTCTATGAAAACATTAAAAAATCGGCTGGATGTGGTACTGTACATATGTAAACAAACACTCACTTCTGTTGGTTATATAACCAGGAGTGTAATTATTGGTCTCATAGTGTATCTTAGTCAGCTTAGGCTGCCACAACAAAATACCGTAGACTAGTTGGCTTAAATGACAAAATTTTATTACCTCACAGTTATGGAGTCTAGAAGTCTATGATCAAGGTTCCAGCATTGTCTCTTTCTGATGAGAGCACTCTTCCTGGCTTATAGATTGCTGCCCCCTTCCATGTTCTTACAAAGCATGGAGAGACAAGCAGCAAGCTTTCTAGTGCCTGTTCTTATTAGACCACTAATCCCATCACCGGGGCCCACCCTTGTGACCTCATATATACCTAATTATCTCCCAAGGTCCCACATCCAATAAAATCACATTGAAGATTAAGGCTTCAACAGATGAATTTTGATCATATAGGATTTGGTCTGTAGCATTCTGCCTGACCCCTCAAAATGTATGTCCTTCTTGCATGCGAAATACATCCAATCCATCCCAACAACACAAAGAGTCTTAACTTTTTCTATCATCAACTCCAAAGTCTGAAATCCAAAGGCTCATGTAAATAATATTTAAGTTAGATGTGGGTGAGGCTTGAGGTATGATTCATCCTGAGACAAATTTCCTCTCCAGCTGTGAACCTGTCAAGCCAGACAACATGTGTGCTTCCAGCATACAATCATGGGACACGTATGCGATAGACATTTCCATCCTGAAAATGAGAACTGGTAGGGAAGGAAGGGGCAGTGGGTTCCAAGCAAGTCCTAAACTAACCAAGGCAAATTCCGTTAGAACTTGAGGTCTTAGAATAATCCTTTTTAGTTTGTTGCTCTGTCTTCCACATTATGGTAAATGAAAGATGCAAAAGATCACATATTGTATCATTTCATGCATAGAAAATGTCCAGAATTGACAAATATGTAGAGACCAAAACTACATGAGTGTATTTCTAGGACTGGAGGATTGTGTTGGGGTGATTGAGAATAGACTGATAAATTTTTTTTTTTTTTTTTGAGACGGAGTTTTGCTCTTGTTGCCCAGGCTGGAGTGCAATGGCGCAATCTCGGCTCTCCGCAACCTCCGCCTCGCGGGTTCAAGGGTTCTCCGGCCTCAGCCTCCCGAGTAGCTGGGATTACAGGCATGCACCCGGCTAATTTTGTATTTTTAGTAGAGACAGGGTTTCTCCGTGTTGGTCAGACTGGTCTCGAACTCCCGACCTCAGGTGATCTGCCTGCCTCAGCCTCCCAAAGTCCTGGGATTACAGTTATGAGCCACCGCGCCCAGCCCTATTTGGGGTGTTTTTATGAGTTGAGTAAAATTTTGTATATTTATATTCTATGGATGTTTGCATAAGTCCACGAATATACTAAACATTTTTGAATTGCACTTTAAATTGCTTATTTTATATTCTATAAATTACTTCTCAGGAATGTGTCTTACAAAAAAAAGTTGGTCTTTATATTGTTACAGGTAGTTAGTTAGGCATGAGTGTTGGGGGAGAGCCCTCGCCTGCCCCAAGATCATAGTTCACCCTTTTTGTCTCTTAATATGCATGCTCAGGAAGTTGCTTCTCCCTGGAGCCTGCATTCAGTTAACATTTTGATGTTAACAGGTGTGGACCACCAGGGAATGGCCTCTCCCTGGTGCTGCCCAATTGTTATTTTTAGAGAGACAATGCAATAATTGCCTGAAATCACCAGACACTTCTATTGGGTGGGGGGAGAGCCTTCTCCTGCTCCGTTAATGCATAACTACCTGTAACAATATGGTTTAAACATATTGTAGCTTACAGCTATTGACAATTTAAAGGTAAAATCACGGTCTTATTCTTCTCCCAGAACTAAGATTTAGGTCTTATAAATGTCAAAGTTTGTGTTTCTAAAAGATGTGTGCTCTATGAACAATTGATAGAAAAACCACTTTTGTGAGGCCGACTGTAAAAATTATATCAGTGTATATCTAATGAAAGTGCTTCGTGAATATAGTCATTGAGTCTGAGTGTGAGCATTCACAGAAAGAGTTCACCTTAGATACCAGATGTAAGTAAAACCTAAACATATAGTGGTAAATGTACTTTGATTTTTTTTTTCCGCCCAGGGTGGAGTTCAGTGGTGCAATCTCAGCTCACTGCAGCCTCTGCCTCCCAGGTTCCAATGATTCTGCTGCCTCACCCTCCTGGGTTGCTGGGATTACAGGCGCATGCCACCATGCCTAATTTTTGTATTTTTAATAGAGACGGGTTTCACCATGTTGTCCAGGCTGGTCTTGAACTCCTGACTTCAGGGGATCCACCCGCCTCGGCCTCCCAAAGTGCTGGGATCATAGGCATGAGCCACCACACCTGGCTAAATGTAGTTTAATTTTTTTATGTTTAGCATTGAGTCAGAACTATTTTACAAAACCTAGATTAAATCTATTTCTATATCTATCTACTTATATATTAGTTTGAATAAATATATTTAGACAAGTTCTGATCAAAAGTTGTTATTCTGATTATTAATAAAGATGAAATGTTAAAATTTCCCACAGGTAGCTACTCTATCTTCACCTCATTGCATGTAAAGTGCTAATTTACTGAGCATGAGATGAATATGACTATTCCCCTACCTGCGCATTTTCTCTTGCAACATGTGGATTACCATACCCTTCCTCTTTCCCCTCCAGCATGCTTTTCCTCTTTAAATATTGAAGCCCTCAATTCATCTTTGGAGAAAGGCCCAGACAACAGACTGTTTCTGTGATTGTGTATTTTTCTCCTGGTTATTTTCCTTAACCTTGGCAAAACAAACATCCAAAGTGATTGAGACCAGTCTCAGATACATTTTGGTTTACACTACAAAGTAACAAAAATGATACGAAAGTATAATGAACATAAATACCAATAATTATGGACCACTATGAAGAGAATCAACAATACATTGTAAACTGATTGCCTATCATGGGCAAGTGAATAAATCCTTGTCTCAAGAGTCTCTGTGTTCTATTATTTGAAGGGTTGGAAGAATTGAAGCCATGCAAGGTGTACGGTTTAAATCAAATCAAAGAAAGATAATTAGTTGGATTGGGAAGTTAAAGACAATATAGAATTTTACTTCTCCCATTATTTGCTAAACTTTAGTGGCAATCAACAAAACAAAGAAAGAAAACTAGCCCCAAACCAATCTTGTCAGGATAACTTGAGATACAGATTTCTCATAGTTTGGAATAATATTAAGCAAGCAAACAGGCAAAAAACACATAAAATCCTAGACTGTAAACCTATCTTATAAGTGAAGACAGTCCGGGAAAAAAAAAAAAAAAAAAAAAGCTGTGAGGATGAGGAAAAAGGGGTACTAGTGACAGAGCTAAAATTTATTAAGATCTATAGCCTGAAAAAATAAGTTTATACTGACAGACAAAATACTAAAAAAGTGTTTTGTTTGTTTGGGTAGAATATCAACTATATGGAAGAGAGTAAAAGAGGTATGTAATATGAATTTTCAGTCTTGGAAAGACTTACATTTTGAGAGAGCAAACAGCAAAAAGGAAGAAAGAGGTGCCTTTTGACAAGTGCATTGGAAAAGGAAAAATACTTAAAAAGGAGAAATTTAGGATCATGCTAGCCAAATACAAGCAAAAGAATAAATGAAAGAAGCACAACAAATCTCCAAAAATTCGGAACAGAACTTGGATTTTGCTGTGCTGATAGAACATGGTCCTATAAAGACACACACTCTCTCACTCACTCACACACACACACACACATACACACTATATATAGTTGAAAAAATCAATATAAACTTATTTTTAAACTCAAAAAGCTGATATTTGATTCAATTTAAACTAAGAGGCAACCTCTTTCAACAAAACAACCATAAAGCAGTAAAACCTGCAAGATAACATCTTCAAGTGAACTAAATATACTCAAACACTTGGATATATGAAAAATAAAAACTTCCTTGATTCTGAAATTCAGTATCTAAGAATAGATATATACAAAAACTGTGACCAATGAAAAGAGATTTGCTTGAACTCAATAAAAATGATGAAAAAGACAAAATTATTGATAGAGACAAGAGGCAGCCAAAGGTCCCCCAGCAAAACTCCTCCTTTAAGCCTAAAACAGCCTGAAGGCTGAAAAACCAGACTGCCAGTACCAGAGAATCTCAAACTGGCCTGTTCACTGGGAGGATGGGGTGGAGCCTTGGGAAGTTCCTGCCACTTGCAGTGGGGAGGAGCCTGGCTTCTCCTGTTCTTGGGTGGTAACCAGGAATTCAGTATGTGAGGCAGGAATCCTACTGGCAGGACTGTCGTTTTTGCTGACAGTCCCTGTTTCCTTTTTTTTTTTTTTTTTTTCCTTTTCATCCAATAAACCCTGCCCTGCTCCCCATTCAAACTGTCTGCATACCTAATCTTTTTTTTGTCATGTGACAAGAACCTGTATTTTCCTACAACATTATTACAGAATTAAACACTAAATCACAAGGTGCAGAGTGATGAGGGAGGATCATTTGACGCCAGGAGTTTGAGATCTGCATAGGCAACATTGGGAGGTCCCATCTCTACAAAAATAAATAAATAGGCTGGGCATGGTGGCTCATGCCTGTAATCCCAGCACTTTGGGAGGCTGAGGCAGGCAAATCACAAGGTCAGTATTTCGAGACCAGCCTGACTAACATGGTGAAACCCTGTCTCTACTAAATACAAAAAATTAGCTGGATGTAGTGGCGGGCGCCTGTGGTCCCAGCTACTTAGGAGGCTGAGGCAGGAAAGTCACTTAAGCCCGGGAGGCGGAGGTTGCAGTGAGCCAAGATTGTGTCACTGCACTCCAGCCTGGCCAACAGAGTGAGACTCCATATCAAAAATAAATAAATAAATAAAATTAGCCAAGTGAGGTGGCACATGTCTGTAATCATAGATACTTGGGGGCTAAGGTCAGAGTGTTGTGGGAAACGAGGAAATGGGGAAGCCAAAGGGTGGAACAGGAGGATTGTATTTAGGTGGCCACCAGGCCAGTGGCTTAATATCCAGAGGCTGAGCCCTGAACAAAGACAGGGCTTGACTTTTATACATGCATCTGAAGGGTAGCTGGCTAGTTTGAAACAAGCTTGCAGTGGCGTGAAAGCAGGTTTTACAGAAGCAGAACAAAGGCAGTTTATCAAACAGTGACGGGCTCATAACTCAGGCTTTCATGTGACTCCAGCTATGTGGGCCACGTTGCTGTTATCTAGCTTTACTCAAGATGCCTGCACAGTTTTATCTCATGTCCTTCGCTATGGTGCCCAGATGGCTGCAATCTAAGCTTGCTCAAGCACGTCTCATGATCTCAGTGGTGCTACAGAGACTTACAGACACTAGTTACCCAAAAGAGGAATCTATAAACTCAAAAAAACTTTCAGAGCAGGGCACAATCGTACGGAGCGGGGGAGGGATTCAAGAGGGAAGCTGTTCATACCAAAGGAAAGAAAGAAAATTTGTTTTTCCCCTCACGTCTCCTGCTTCAAGAGGATCACTTGAGCCCTGGAGTTCCAGGCTGCAGTGAGCCATGATTCTGCCACTGTACTCCACCCTGGGCGACAAAGCAAGAGTCCCTTCTCAATAATAATAATAAACAAAAAGAAAAATCACAACGTGTTCAATGAAATTTAAGATCAAATGACAATGTCATAACAAAAATAAGACAATGAAAAATGAAAATGAGATTAAAAGAAAAAATGGTCTGAGAGAAAATGGTGGAAATAGAAATAAACAAGGAAGGAAGAATATTCATAGGATTGGAGTCCTTGAATAAAAAGAATAAAACAATCAAGAGGAGTAAATTAATTTCCAAAATAGAATTTTCAAAATTTCCAAAATAAAATCTCAAAATATATAATGAGAGTGACTGCCTATTATTTGGGTAAATTAACTTTAAAAAATATAGAATCTAAGACCTCACATAGTAAAACAAATAGAAAAGAAGAAAAAATATCTTCAAATCCTCCAGGTGAAAGAAAAATTAAAATGTCAAGGAGTCTTTCCTAGTGTAAACCAAAAATAAAATTTTAAGGCCCCCAACCATCTGAATGAACTTCCTCCTTAGCCATGGCTCTTTTAAAAATTTAACCTGAAAGACTAGTTCATGCCATGATGGAAAGTGGGGGTCAGACATGCCTCATTATACCTTTCTGGCATTAACATCAACACAGACTTTAAGTCTGATAACAAACATTTTTCAACCTATTCTCTCTGAAGCCTGCTACCTGGAGGCTTCATCTACTGAACTTCGTGATAGAACTTTGATCTCCTTAATCTCTTATCATAACCCAGATATTCCTTTCTATTGTCAACCAGAACATTTTTAAATCTACCTATAAACTGGATCCCCACCCTCAAGTTGTGATGCCTTTCTATCTCCCTAACATGTATAAAACCAAGCTGCACCCCGACCACCTTGGGCACATGTTCTCAAGATCTCTTGAGGGCTGTGTCATGGGTCATGGTCACTCATGTTTGGCTCAGAATAAATCTCTTCAAATATCTTACAGAGTTTGACACTTTTCATCAACCCTAGCATTAGGCTTTACGATAAATAAATAAAGCAAAGAATAAAGAAATAGAATTACATTTTAAAGTCTAAGAAATAAAATGAGTGTGAGATTATATATTCAGCCAAACTGTCACTCAAATATCAAGGCCTGAGTAATAGAGCTTTCAACATACAAGAACTTTTGATTTCTGTACTCATGAAACCTTTTAGAGGCTTTTATTAGAGCATGAGCTTCATCCACACAAGAGAAGACCAAGGAAATTTCACCAAAATACCTAATAGTGAGTGTTTTAATATTTACAATTATAAACCTAAGACTAACGCAAACATGTGAGCAGAGGTGGAATAATAAAGTACAATTGTTACAGGTTAGGATAATTAAAAAATAATGAAATTTTTTAAATGAGAAGAAAGGAAAAAAACGAGATGAACTCATCATTTTATAGCTATAAATAGGTATTAAACATCATGATTAGTGATTCACAATCCAGATAATAAAGTTTAAATAAGAAAACAGTACATTAGAAAGTTATAAGAAAAAAAGATATCCACTACAACAAAATACAACCTCTTAGATAAATGAATAAATCATTGACTACCAAAAAAGTAAATAATATACACCTCATAAAAATATTAAAATATACCTAATTATAAATACTTGACAAATATAAGACCAAATATATTAGTCATATTATCAAATATAAATAGGGTTAACACATCTCTAAAAATAAAAATATTTTTTCATGTTTACCCACGAATCAAGGCTGAATTATACACTTTACACAAAAGAAACATCTAAAAAAACCCAAATATAAACAACACACAACCTACCATTATGAAGAAAGAAAGGAGAACTAGCAAATATAAGCAAATAAAAAATGGCAAAGGAGAAAAAAAATAAGAGAAATTTTTAAAGTGGTAAGAGGCTGTTTCACAGACAAATACATTCACTTACTTAGATATGAAAACAATATATCACATTGAATGACAGAATTGACTAACATCATTTGTTTTGTCTTTCAAATCACTGTGCTATCACTGTTTAGCATCTACTCTTTTAATATAGGTTACATGTATTATACATTACCATAGGAATTTCACACTGGATGTGTGCTGAAAGCAAACTTAAAGAATTCCAAACCATTAAGAACTGAACTTCGTGAAGAAATAGGGATAGCTGAATAGGCTGTGTCTCAGGACAGCTGCTCATTCAATGAGCATTTTCCATTAGCATTACTAAAGAGAGAGTGATCACATTGCTTTTGGTGTCAGGGAAGCCAAACAAGTGAATAAAAGTCTTGGGCCAAGGCACGATAATAATACAGACATTCCTGTGTCTGAGATATAGTACCTGCGTTTGTGTGTGTGGGAAGGCTAAGTAGGCATCACAGAGCAAGTATGTGCAATAGCAGCAGTGTTAGAACTCAGAAGCAGGCTGAATTAACTGGAGTTAATCAGCTGGTTGATTTGATCAACTGGAGTCAAATCAGCAGCTGGTTATGTGAATTTGGGCCACAGAGTGGTGACACCCAAGATCCTCACATTTATTAAACAATTGTATTTATGTCTCTAAAATCTGGTCACTCAGATTTAAAGTCTGTCCTCAGTAAACATGAAGACAAGCCCAGTGGCTAAGGCATATGTTCAAAGACAAGTTATAAATGGGAGGTAACAACTAAGAAAGTAGCAGCTCAACAGGATGGAAACTTTTTTTTTTTTTAATACCCATGCTACCACCCCTAAACACCATGGGCAACTTCTGCATCCCAGAGGTGTCAGTGGGAGACTGACTATGACTGAAGTCCTCCTGAAACCCCTGTAGACATGCTAGCAGCAGGCAGGCAGTCCAGAGATGTGCCTTCCTACTTCACTGCTGGTGTCAATGGAGACCTAATAGAAAATGTGATCTCCAACTCCGATCCAGCAGCAGAAGGTAGCTCAGAAAGTCACTTTTCTTGCTATGGTTTAAATGTCTCCTCCAAAACTAACTTTAAAATTTAATTACTGTTACTATTCGACCCTTAAGAACTGATTAGGTCATGAGGGCTCTTACCTCATGAATGAAGAAATTTCATAATTATGGAAGTGGGTTACTTATCACAGGAGTAGGCTCCTGATGAAAGGAGGAGTTCAACCTAGTTTTCTTTTTCCCATTCACTCTCTCACCATGTAATGCCTTCCACCATATTATGTGATCTCTGGTATGATAAGATATCAGGAGGAGGACCTCAGCCCCATGATCTTGGACTTCTCAGCCTCCAGAACCACGAACCAAATAAATCTCTTCTGTTACTAAATTACCCAGTCTATGATATTCCATTATAGGAACAGAATATGAACTAAAATATTCCTTTGTTTCAGACACCATGTAATCAGGGACCAAATATAAGATGGCCTGGGGAGGGTTTCTATTCCCTCCATGATGTCAGTGGAGACAAAATGGGGAATTTGGACCTTGACTTTCAGTCAGTGTAAGAAGTCAGCCCACAGAAACACTTTGCTCCATTGCCAGCGATTATAGCAAAAACAGAGCAAGGTGTCTAAATTTAGCCACTTCTCACCCCAAAATGAATGGGAGGCAGTACCCACCACCTGCCCAAATACAAGGAGAAGAAAATCCCAGAAAGGAAGAGCTGAACAAATAAAGGAATTGTTTCAATTATAAGGAAAACACTAAGAAGACCCCTGACCAATTCACACGTAAAAGCTACTAGAAGAAAATATGCCAAAAAGTTTTATAACTGAACCAAAGTTTGGAATACCACCCAGGTTTTCAGAGTGGCCTCTATGCAGCATAAAATGAAATCATACCAGAATAGCACTGAAGGGGCTCTCAAAACTAAATGCCATTTGAACCACAGCCCACAAAACTAGGCCAGGCCCCATTTGCCAAACCTAAACTGGGTGACTGGCTGCTAAATAGATGATGTAAAAAGGATCTAGAGTCTCCTAACATCATACCCCAAATGTCCAGATACAAAAACAGAGAAACAAAAACTCATCATACTACAAACAAGTAAAATCAAAACTTGAATGAAAAAAAGTGATTAACAGATGCTAACACTGACATGAATCAGATACTACAATTATCTGACAAGAATTTTAAATCAGCCATAATAAAAATACCCAATAAATCAATTATGAATTATCTTGAAGTAAACATAGAAAATTTTACCAAATAAATAGAAATTATAAAAAAGAACCAAAATCAAATTAGAATTATGAAACATGTGAAAACCAAAATAATTTTAAAAACCTTACTACTTGGGCTCAAAAATGGATTGGAAATGACAGAGGAAATAAAAAGTGAACCTAAAGATAGCCTGTGAGAATAATAGACTGCAAGAACTAGACTTTACAAATCTAAACATCATATAGGAAATAGACTGAAAAAATTACAGAGCCTCAGATACTTGTAAAACAGTAACAAAAGAGCTAGCATCTGTGTCATTGCTGTCACAGAAGGAGAAAATAAAGAGTGGTTAAATGTCTAAGAAAAGTTCTTCGAACAGAAAAGAAATATTACAGAAGGGATCACGGAGTATCAGGAAGGAAGAAAGAAAGAACAATGAAAACATCAATAGTATCTATATATATGAAACAAGAGAGTTCCCAGACCATCCTCACAGGACATGTGACAGGGGTGTGGCTTGTCTGTTTGGCCACCATGGCTGCTTAAACCCCCTACCAGAGGGCAAGCATGCAGACAAGCAGGTGCAGGAGCCGGAGCGAGCGCTTTTGGGCTCCGGCCCCACAGTGGCATCTAGGGGTGTGTGCCTGTGGTTCCCAAAGCCTCACTGGGCATGCTACAGTGCTGTCTTAGCTCTGCCATCTACAGACAGCTTAAGTGTTAACCAGCTGAGTGCCCTCTTGGTACCCAGGTTCTTGTCTGGCATCCAGGAAGAATCAGGTAACACACGGACTTGAAAGATGGTGAATGTGGGGATTTTATTGGGTGATGGAGATGGCTCTCCACAGGACGGATGGGGAGCTGGAAAGGAGATGGAGTGGGAAGATGATCTTCCCCTGGAGTTTGGCCATTACACAGCCAATCTCCTCTCCGACCGTCCCCAGCCGAACTCCTCTTGACATTCAGACACTCCTCTTCTCCCCTTCTCTGCCATGCTGCTCTTCTGCTCCTCTGCTCTCCTGTTCATCTGCTCATCTGCTCTTGGAGCTGGGGTTCATATGGGTACAGGGGACGGGGGTGCAGCAGGCCAAAAGTCAACGTGAATGCCTGTTCCCATTTAGGGCTGTGGGTTTCCAGGCTTGAGGGTGGGGCCTTTGCCAGGGAACCACCTTCTCCTATCCAGTATTTCCCTGTCTCCTGTCTGTATCATATACAATATACTTTCCTTCTTTTGAGTTTTATGTTAAAAAGTTGAAGCAAAAGCTTTTAACACTCTCTAATGCAGTTTTTCAATCTATGTAGAGAAACACATTTAAAAAAATTTATATGTTGAATACATGAAGACAAAGGGATTGAAGTGGAGATAAATTGTCTACATTTGTCTTAGGCTGCTGAAAAGCTTACACTAGCAGATCGTAAATTATATATGTATAATGCAATATCTGAAGAAGCCACTAAAATACTATTAAAAAATCTTAAACACACAGATGAGACAAAATGGAACTCTAAAAAATATTCAAGGCACTTAGAGGAAGAAGTGAAATGTGAAACAGAGGAATGCAACACAAAGGGATCAAACACAAAGCAAACAAAAATGGCAGACCTAGGTCCTAATATACAAATAATTACATTATAAATAGCTTAAACATACCAGTTAAAAAGCAGAGATTGGCAGAATTATTTTTAAATGATCTAACTATATTTAAAAGAAATAAACTTTAAATATAATATTATAGTTGTTTAAAATAAAAATATAGAAAAAAATACACCAAGCCAGCTTAAAATAACTAGCATCTTCCTAAGTTCACCAATGATGGATTTTTTTGAGTATCATTTTTAGTTCACAGAATTAAACATATTGAGGTATATATGTATCATAGTTATTACTTTATTGGCACTTAAATTGTATCATATTTGAGCAATGGGAGATTCCTCAAGTTTGCTCCTGAATCCTTTTAAAATGATGCCAATATTTATTGATAATTTTCTGGCTATGAAGTACAGTGAGATCAAGTGTCATCTTGGGAACTTCTCTGTAAACTTCTTGAGGAATAAAGAATAAATTCAGAAAGGCAAAATTACTGTAGAGATACTAGTTTATGGATTGTCGGTGATCATTAAATTTTACCTATAAAACTAAGGTACAGAATATATTAGTCCATTCTCACACTGCTATAAAGAACTAAGACTGGGTAATTTATAAAGAAAAAAGGTTTAATTGGCTCATGGTTCTGCAGGCTTTACAAGAAGCATGGCTAGACAGGCCTCAGGAAAATTACAATCATGGTGGAAGGCAAAGGGAAAGCAGGCATGTCCTACATGGCTGGAACAGGAGGAAGAGATCAAAGGGGGAGGTGCTACACACTTTTAAACAACCATGTCTCATGATAACTCACTTACTATCATGAGAAGAGCAAGAGAAAAATCTGCCCCCATGATCAAGTCACCTGCCACCAGGCCCCTTCTCCAACACTGCGGATTACAATTTGACATGAGATTTAGGAAGGGACAGAAATCCAAACCACATCACAGAATACAATATAATGACCATTTTGTTTAATAATGTATATATAGAACAACCATTAAAACTGGGTATAAATGGGAGTGTATATGAAAAGTATAAGATAAATAATTGACATACTGTTATTCACTGATAGTAGGAAAAGGGTTATACTTTCAATGAAATGCTGAATGGCAGAGAATGCTGAGAAAATAGGAGGTAACTAGGCAATTTCAGTGTTGGCCATATTAGAAAGCCAATTAAGAAATAGACTTGAGATACAATAAAAGGATATTAATATATAGTTAACAATTAAAAATAAAACATTCTTAAATATCAAAAATATACTAAGAGGCATTTTGTATAAAATCCATATAATAAAATATATTAAATTATTGGAGCTAAACATCTCAAACATATATACATGTTACTATTGAGTGATCACTAGAATACATAATTTTAAATTAAAAAATAAGGTAGATAAAAATGTGTATATGCCACTGCAGTGTATTTAGCACAAGATTTGTATTTGTGAACGTGTATAGGGCAGATAGATAATGAGTAGATATGCATATATGCATCTATTGATCAGTCTATAAATCTATCATATATCTATACACTTATATTAAAAATAATAGAAGAATAAAGAGAATAATGTCACCATGATGTCAAAATAGAAGATAACCCTCTCATATCTCCCCACAACAAGAATATTGCATGCATTCACAGTCAAAAATGTTTCTATGGGAGGCTCAGAATTTGAATAGATGCTTGTGAAACCCTGGTAGAGCCCAAGACCTAGGAGCATCTTTTTGAGAGTAAAGACTGACAACCAATTGGCTGATCTACCCCACCAAGCTTGCCTCTGGGTTTAAGGTTGGAAATAGCCTAGTTTCCCAAGGAACTTGGTCACAGCCCAATTGGGCCTTGAGCCTGCAAACAAAACTATCTGCCAAGGAGTCCAGAAGGAATTGCACATAGTAGTGCCTTGGCAGAAATGTTCACCTGCCTGCTGACAATAATCCAGCAGAGAACCTGAAATTGCTTTGAGGCACTGCTCCAGCTTTCCTCAGCTTAGATCCCCGATCAGAGCAGCATACATATGAATCAACAGGGAGACTCACCAGTATCTCACAGCCTGGGAATCTGAGCCTGTCTAACAGGATTGATATCTCTGTCCCACAACAGATCCCAAAGTGTCTCAGTCTCAGCTTCAGCTCCTCCCACTGCAGTAATGTCCACCCCTGAGTGGAGACCAGACTCTTCAACCTCTCTTCCCACAGTGGATACCAATACTTGGTTCCCCTGGGATTCAAGTCTAAACTCCAGCCTCTCCTGCTGCAGTTGGAAACTATCCTATCTATGTGAAGAACAACTAGGAAATGTGCATCCATCTGAGCTAATATGAGAAGCACACCAGCCTCCATCATAAATCATATCCTAAGAAAGCCCAGTCTCAGCTCTGGCCCCTCCTGTTTTAATCAAAGAACTACCACACTTTTATAGGGATCTGTTGTGTGACACATGCCAATCTAAGCCAATTACGCAGGCCCATCAGCCCCTCTCCCACAGCAGATGCTGAAGGGGCCCAATCTCAATTCCAGCTCCTCTCCTTGCAATCATGGACCCATCACACCTGTGCAGAGACCTTCTAAGATGTATACTCATCTGGGCCACGGGGACAGTCTTCTGGACTCAAGCCCCTGGCCAGCATTTCCACACAACCCCAGGATCCTCACTGGATCTTCCCCACATCCTTCAGCACTGGGAAGCCACATAAACTTGGAGCCCTAACAAGATTCATGGCAAGTCTGGGCTTAAAGCCTTTTCTAGTTCTGAGATGGCTGAGGTGGTCACAGACTCAGGACACAAAAAGCCAGTTGGCTTAGAATCCCTGGAAGGTCCTCTGAAGAAGGACAGGCACAAACAAAGACAGACTGAAAAGAAAATCGAATTCCTCAATAAGTAGACATCATCAAACTTCCATAGCATCAACATTGAAAGAAATGTGACCTCATCAAAGGGATACAATAAGGTCTTATGATAAAGTGGTGGAGATGTGTATTTTAAACAAAGAATTCAAAGTAGCTATTGCAAGGAAGCTCAACAAACTTCAAGAAAACACAGAGAATTAATTCAGATATGTACATGAAAAAATTAACACAAAGAATAAAATAATTTAAAAAAATCAAACAGAAATTTCAAAGGTGAAAAATATAATGAAATAAAAAATGCAATAGAAAACATGAACATCAGGACTGATCAAACAGAATAAAGAATCAGTGAGCCTGAAGAAAATCTTAGAAAATAAAAATCAGAGGAGAAATAAAAACAATGAAAAGGAATGAACAAAGTTTACAGGATCTATAGGATGACATAAAAAGAGCAAATAGTTGACTTGTTAAGTAAAGGAGGAAAGTGAGAAAGACAAACAGGTAAAAAGTCTTTCAAAATAAATAATAACATAAAACTGTCCAAACCTGGAGGAAGACATACATATCCAGGTACAGAAAGGTCAAAAGTCACCAAATATTTTCAACCCAAATAAAAATACTTTGAAACATATCATAATCAAACTTTCAAAAGTCAAAGATAGAGAAAGTATGCTGAGAGCAGAGAGAGAAAATAAGAAAATAACATATAAGGGAGATCCAATATGACTGGCATCAGGCTTCTCAGAAGAAATACTACATACCAGGAAGTGGTGGAACAAAATATAGAGAGTGCAGAAGGAACAAAAAACAAATTGACAAACAAGAATACTGTACCCAGCACAGTTGTCCTACAGAAATAAAGGAGATAAAAAGACTCCCAGACAAACAGATGCTGAAGGACTTGATGACTATAAGACCTGTCCTACAAGAAATGATAAAGGGAATGATTAAAACTGAAAAAAGATGCTAATGTGATTGTTTACTTATATTGTAACCATGATGTTTAAACCACATATATCTTTAGTAAGAATACTAAAAAATAAAACTATGAAAATATTAATAACTACAATGATTTGTTGAGATGTAAATTCTTACATTAAAAATTCAGAATTTCAGGGGAGAAGGAAATTACTGTGTAAAGTATTTTTTGGTTTGTTTATTTTCTTGATTGGTAATCACAGTAAATTTTCATCAGTTTAAAAAATATCCTATAACTATAGGATATTTTGTTTAAGTCTCATGGTAACCACAAAACAAAACCTATAATATATATACCCAAAATAAAAAGCAGTGGATTAAAACATACTTCTAGAAAATTACATAACCACAAAAGAAGACGGTTCAAAAGGAAGAGAAAATAAAACAACTTAAACAATTAGAAAATAAGTAGAACAATAACATGAGTAAGTCCTTAGTTACTAATAATAACATTGTAAATGGACAAAATTTTCCAATTAAAAGTCATAGAGAGGAATGGATTAAAAAACAAGACCCAACTATATGCTGCCTATAAGAAACTTCCACTATAAAGACACACATAGATTGAAAATGAACAGATGGAAAAAGTGATTCCATACAAATGAAAACCAAAAAAGAGCAGAAGTAGCTATACTTACATCAGATAAAAATAGACTTTAAGTCAAAACTGTAAAAAGAGACAAAGAAGATTATTATATAATGATAAAGTGGTCAATTTAGCAAGAAGATATAAGGATTATAAATACATCTATCTATCTATGGATAGATAGACATATGCACCCAATGGCAAAGCAATCAAATATATAAAGCAAATATTAATATATCTAAAAGAGAGATAGACTGCAACATAATAATAGAAAGAGACCTCAAAACACCACTTTCAGCAATATACTTTCAGCAATGGAAATATCATCCAGGCAGAATATCAACAAAGAAGCATCAAAGTTAAGCTATACGCTTGAACAAATGGGCCTAACAGATATTGAAATAAAGATTTCATCCAACTTCTAAAGAATATGCAATTCTTTCTCATCAGCACAAAGAACATTCTCCAGGATAGACCCATATGTTAGGCCTAAAAACAAGTCTCAACAAAGCCAAAAATGTTGAAGTTATATCAAGAATATTTTCTGATCACAATAAAATAAAATGCAAAATCAATAAGAAGAGGAGTTTTGAAATCTGTGCACATCGAAATTAAACTTGTTCCTAAATGACCAGTCAATAAAGAAGTTATAGAGAAATTTCAAAAATGTCTTAAAATCAATAAAAATGGGAACACAACCTATCAAAACCTATGGGAAACTGCAAAAGCTGTGCTAAGATGAAAGTTTATATATCAATAAATACCTACATCAAAAAATAGACTCCAAATAAACAGTCTGATGCAACTCAAGTAACAATAAAAGCAAGAACAAATTGATTCTAAAATTAGTAGAAGAAAATAAATAATGTTGGAAAAGAAATAAACTAAATGATAATAAATTAGCAAAATAGGAATTTGGTTTTTTAAAAATATAAACAAAATGACAAACCTTTAGCCAGAATAGGAAAAAAGAGAGGACCCAAATAAACAAAATGGAAGACCAAAACAAAATTAAAAAATGAAACATTACAAATGATACCACAGTAACGCAAAAAAAAAAAAAAAAATCATTAGGGAATAATGTAAAAAACTGTAAGCCAAAAAAATTGAAAATCTGGAAGAAATTAATAAATTCCTGGACATATAAACCAACTAAGATTGAAACATGAAGAAATAGAAAACCTAAACAGGCCAGTAATGAGCAATAAGAAGAAAGCAGTAATTTAAAAATATCCCATTAAAGAAAAGCAAAGGCCTGATGGATTAACTGCTGAATTCTACCAAGTATTAAAAGAAGAACACTAATTCCACTCTATTTCAAAAAAACTGAAGAGGGGAAAACATTTTCTAACTGATTCTATGAGACCAGCATTACCCTGATACAAACACCAGACAAAAATAGCACAAAAAAAGAAAACTACAGACCAATAACTCTGATAAATATGAACATAAAAATCCTCAACAAAATACCAGCAAGCCAAATCCAGCAACATATTAAGAATATTATTCACCATGATCAATTGGGATGCTTAGCAGGGATGCCAGAATGGTTCAACATATAGAAATTACTAAATGTGATACATCACACCAACAGAATCAAGAGCAAAATTGTATAATTATATCAATAGATGCTGAAAATGCATTTAATAAAATTAAACACCCCTTCATGAGAAAAACTCTCAATAAACTAGAAATAGAAGAAACTTTACTCAAAATAATAAAGGCTATATATGACAAGTCCACAGCTAACATCATAGTGAATGAAAAAAAAAAAACCTGAAGCCTTACCACTAAGATCTCGAGCAAGATAAGCATGCTCACTTGTACTACTTTTATTTGACACAGTAGTGGAAGTTGTAGCCAGAGCAATTACTCAAAAGAGAGAGAAAAAAAGACCAAATTAGAAAGAAGGAATTCAAATTATCCTGGTTTTCAGATGATATAATATTTTATTTAGAAAACCCCAGTCTCCACCAAAAAACTCTTTAAACTCATAAATTAATTCACTAAAGTTGCAGGATACAAAAGAAACATATGAAAATCAGTAGTGTTTCTACATGTTTACAGCAACCAATCCAAGAAGGAATCAAAAAAGCAATTCCACTTACTTTATAAAAAATAAAATACCCAAGTATATATTTAACCAAAGAAATGAGAGATCCTTATAGGAAAAATGGTAAAACCCTCAAGAAAGAAATTGAAGAAGACACAAAAAATGAAAAAATATCCCACACTCATGGATTGGAAGAATACTGTTAAAATATTTATACTGCACAAACTGATTGACAGATTAAATGTAATATCTATTAAAATACCAGTGACATTCTTCAAAAAAATTTTAAAATCCTAAAATTCATATAGAACCAAAAAAGACCCTTAATAGCTAAAGCAATCCTTATCAAAAAGAACACGTCTGGAGACATCACACTAACTGGATTTAAATTGTACTATGAAGCTGTAGTAACCAAAACAGGATGGCACTGGCATTAAAACAGACATATAGACCAATGGAACACAATAGAGAACCCAGAAATAAATCCACACACATACAGCCAATTGGTTTTCAACACAGGCACCAAGAACATATAATGGGAAATGAAGTCCCCTTAGGAAGTGACACAGAAAAAAAAACTAGATATTCATATACAGAAGAATAAAACTAGATCTTCACCTTTCACCCTAAAAAAAATTAAACTCAAAATGAATTAAGCACTTACACGAAAGATCCTAAAACTATTATATGATTAAAAGAAAACGCTGGAAAAATGCTCCAGGACATTGGTCAGAGCAAATATTTTATGACTAAGACCTCAAAAGCCCAGGCAACAAAATCAAAAGTAGACAAAGGGGATTATATCAAGCTAAAAAGCTTCTGCACAGCAAAGAAAACAATTAACAAAGTGAAGAGACAACCTACAAAATGGGAAAATTATTTGCAGACTATCCATCTGACAGGAGATTAATAACTATGTTATATGAGGATGTCAAATAACTCAATAGCAAAAAGCCCCAAATAATTTAACAACAAAATGGGCAAAAGACCTGAATAGACATTTATCAAATGAAGACATATGAATAGACAACAAGTATATGAACAAATGCTCAATATTAGTAATCATCAGGGAATTGCAAATTAAAACCACAATGAGATATTATCTTACCCAGATAGAATGGCTATTATCAAAAAGACAAAACTAACACAAGATGGAGAGTATGCAAAGAAAGAGGAACATTTGTACCTTGTTGGTTGAAATGTAAAACGATACAGCCATTAAGGAAAAGAGTATGGTGATTTCTCAGAAGAAACTACAAATACAATTACCATATAATTCAATAATTCCACTGTTGGGTATATAGCCCAAAGAAAGGAGATTAGTATTTTGAAGGCGTATCTGCACTCCCATGTTTATTGCAGCACCATTAACAATAGCCAAACAGGGAAGCAACCTAAGCATCCATCAACGGATGGATGGATAAAGAAAGTGTGGTATATACACATAACGGAATATTATTCAGCTGTAAAAAATAAATTGTCATTTCCATCAAAATAGATAGAACTGGAGTTTATTATGTAAAGTGAACTAAGCCAGGCACAGAAAGACAGATATTACATGTTCTCACTCATATGTAGGAGCTAAAATAGTGGTTCTCATGGTGGTAGAGAGTAGAATGGTGGTTATCAGAGGCTGGACATGGAAGCAGAAAGAAAGAATACAGACAAGTTGGTTAATGGGTGAAGAAATACAGTTACACAGAAGGAACAAGTTTTAGTACTCAATAGTACATTAGCGAAAATATAGTTAGCAATAATTCATTATATATTCAAAAAAGCTAGAAGAGAAGAATTGTAATTTTCCCAACACAAAGAAAAATATTTGAGGTGAGAAATGTCCCAGTTACACTGATTTGATTATTACACATCATATACATGTATCAAAATATCACATGTACCCCATATACATGTACAGTTGTATCGATAAAAAAATCCCCAAAATGTAAGAATAAAACATAAAATTAAGAAAAGTATTATCTGTAGAAGGAGAGAGAAAAAAGGGGAAGAGAGCATTGATAGAAGTTAGATTTTGCTGAACATGTTTTATAAACTTTGAGAGTATTTAAATATTTTGCCTTCCTTAGAATAAAATTAAATGTAAAAAGGTTGGCATATGCAGTACTGTCTGAGTCGTTGCAGTGTGTGTCCAGTGTGTGATGTTCCCCTTTCTATGTCCATGTGTTCTCCTTGTTCAACTCCCACTTATGAGTGAGAACATGCGGTGTTTGGTTTTCTGTTCCTGTGTTAGTTTGCTGAGGATGATGATTTCCAGCTTCATCCCTGTCCCTGCAAAGGACACGAACTCATCCTTTTTTATGGCTGCATAGTATTCCATGGTGTATATGTGCCACATTTTCTTTATCCAGTCTATCACTGATAGACATTTTGGTTGGTTCCAAGTCTGCTATTGTAAATAGTGCTGCAATAAACATACACGTACATGTGTCTTTATAGTAGAATGATTTATAATCCTTTGGGTCAAATGGAATTTCTGGTTCTAGATCCTTGAGGAATCGCCACACTGTCTTCCACAATGGTTGAACTAATTTACACTCCCATCAACAGTGTAAAAGTGTTCCTATTTCTCCACATCCTCACCAGCATCTGTTGTTTCCAGACATTTTAATGATCGCCATTCTAACTGGCATGAGATGGTATCTAATTGCAGTTTTGATTTGCATTTCTCTAATGACCAGTGATGATGAGCTTTTTTTCGTATGTTGGTTGGCCACATAAATGTCCTCTTTTTATTGTTGAAGATGAGGAGATCATAGGTGTACAGCCTTATTTCTGGGCTCTCGATTCTGTTCCATTGGTCTATGTACCTGTTTTTGTACCAGTACCATGCTGTTTTGGTTACTGTAGGCCTGTATGGTAGTTTGAAGTTTGGTAACATGATGCCTCCAGCTTTGTTCTTTATGCATAGAATTGCCTTCGCTATTCAGGGTCTTTTTTGTTTCCGTATGAATTTTAAAATAGTTTTTTCTACTTCTGTGAAGAATGTGGTCAGTAGTTTAATAGGAATAGCATTGAATCTATAATTTGGGCAATATAGCCATTTAATGATGTTCATTCTTTCTATCCACAAGCATTGGATGTTGTTCCATTTTTTTGTGTGTCTTCTATGATTTTTTTGAGCAGTGTTTTGTAATTCTCATTGTAGATATCATTCACCCCCCCCCAGTAAGCTGTATTCCCAGCTATTTTATTCTTGTTGTGGCAATTATGAATGGGATTACCTTTTTTATTTGGCACTCAGATTGGCTGTTGTTGGTGTATAGGAATGCTAGTGATCTTTGTAAATTGATTTTGTATCCTGAAACTGCTGAATTGTTTTTTTATTAGTGGAAGGAGCTTTTGGGCCAAAAGTTTGGGGTTTTCCAGACACAGAATTATATCATCTGCAAACAGAAATAGTTTGACTTCCTCTCTTCCTATTTGAATGCCTTCATTTCTTTCTCTTGCCTGATTGCTCTGGCTAGGACTTTCACTTCCATGTTGAATAGAAGTGGTGAAAGAGGGCATCCTTGTCTTGTGCCAGTTTTTATGGGTAATTCTTTCAGCTTTTGCCCATTCAGTACAATATTGGCTGTGGGTGAGGTATTTTCCTTCAATACCTAGTTTATTTGGGGTTTTTAACTTGAAGCGTTGTTGAATTTTATTGAAAGCCTTTTATTTATTTATAGAGATAATCATGTGGTTTTTGTCTTTAGTTCTGTTTATGTGGTGAATTACATGTATTGATTTGTGTATGTTGAACCAACCTTGCATTCTGGTGATGAAGCCTGTTTGATCATGGTGGATTAGCTTTTTGATGTGCTGCTGAAGTCAGTTTGCAAGTATTTTGTTGAGAATTTTTGCATCAATGTTCGTCCAGGATATTAGCCTGAAGTTTTCTTTTGTGTCATGTCTCTGTTGGGTTTCAATATCAAGATGATACTGGCCTTAAAAAATGAGTTGCAGAGGAGTCCCCCCACCTCAACATTTTGGAATAGTTTCTGTAGGGATGCTACCGGCTCTTCTTCTTACATGTTTTAGAATTCAGCTGTGAATCCTTGAGGTTCTAAGTTTTTGTTGTTATTGTTGTTAGTAGGCTATTTATGACTGATTTAGTTTCATAGCTTGTTATTGGTCTGTTCAAGGAATCAATTTCTTCCTGACTCAGTCTTGGGAGGGTGTATGTGTCCATAAATTTATTCATCTCTTCTAGGTTTTCTAGTTTGTGTGCATAGAGGTGTTAGTAGTAGTTTCTGGGGTTTGTTTTTATTTCTGTGGGGTTAGTGGTAACATTTTCTTGATCATTTCTAATAGTCTTTAGTTGGATATTCCCTCTTTTCTTAGTCTAGCTAGAGGTCTATCTGTTATTAATTTTTTTTCAAAAAAAAAAAACAACTCCTGGATTTGCTGATCTTTCCAATAGTTTTTCATATCTTGATTTCCTTCAGTTCAGCTCTGATTTTGGTTATTTCTTGTCTTCTAGTAGCTTTGGGGTTGATTTGTTCTTGCTTCTCTAATTCTTTTACTTGTAAAATTAGGTTGTTAATTTTAGATTTTTCTAACTTTTTGATGTGGGCATTTAGTGCCATGAATTTTTCTATTAACAATGCCTCGCTGTGTCTCAGAGATTCTTGTATGTTGTATCTTTGTTCTCATTAGTTTCAAAGAACTTCTTGATTTCTGCCTTAATTTCATTATTAACAAAAGTCATTCAGGAGCATGTTGTATAATTTTCATCTAATTGCATGGTTTTGAGCAATTTTCTTATTCTTGACTTTTATTTTGATTGTGCTGTCACCTGACAGTATATGTGATACGATTTTGTTTCTTTTGAATTTGTAGAGGATTGTTTTATGTTCAATCGTTTGGTTGATTTTAGAGTATGTGCCATGTGATGATGAGACAACTGCATATTCTGTTGCCTTTGGATGAGGAATACTGTAGAGGTCTATCTGATTCATTTGGTCCAGTATTGAGTTCAGGTCCTGAATATCTTTGTGAATTTTCTGCCTCAATAATCTAATACTGTCAACCCCACTATTATTGTGTGGGAGTCTATGTGTCTTTGTTGGTCTCTACGAACCTGCTTTATGAATCTGGGTACTCCTGTGCTGGGTGCAGAGATATTAAGAATAGTTAGGTCTTATTGTTGAATTGAACCCTTTAACATTATGTAATGCCCTTCTTTGTCTTTTTTGACCTTTGTTGGTTTGAAATATGTTTTTGTCTGAAACTGGGATTGCAACCACTGCTTTTTTATGTTTTCCATTTGCTTGGTAGATTTTCCTCCATCCCTGTATTTTGAGTCATTGAGTGTCATTACATGTGAGATAGGTCTCTGAAAGACAGCATACCATTGGATCTTGCTTTTTTATCCAGCTTGTCACTCTGAGCCAGGGGAACCTCCCCCACCCAGGGAGACTGTGATTGAATGTGTGACCCTAGAAACCCATACTTCGTCCATGGATCTTTGCAATCCTCAGGTCAGAAGATCTCCTTATAAACCCACTCCACCAAGGCCTTCAGTCTGACAGAAAGAGCTTCGTGGAGTCTTGGGTGTGTCTTTGAGGGTGCTACCAGAAGAGATTAACATTTGAGTCAGCGGACAGGGAAAGACAGGCCCACCCTCAATCTGGGTGGGCACCATCAAATTGGCTGCCAGCATGGCTAGAAAAAGCAGCCAGACTTCTGAGTCTTCCAGCCTTCATCTTTCTCCTATTCTGGATGCTTCCTGCCCTCTAACATCAGACTCCAAGTTCTTCAGCTTTTGGACTTTTGAACTTAATGCCAGTGGTTTGCCAGGGGCTCTTGGGCCTTTGGCTACAGACTGAAGGCTGCACTGTTGGCTTCCCTACTTTTGAGGTTTTTGGACTCAGTCTGAGCCATTACTGGTTTTCTTGCTCCTCAACTTGCAGATGGCCTATTGTGGGCCTTCATCTTGTGATCGTGTGAGTCAATTCTCCTTAATAAACTCCCTTTTGTATATATATATATCTATCCTGTTAGTTCTATTCCTCTAGAGAACCATGACTTAAAACAGGGAGTCTGACTTCACATTCTCCCAGAGTGCAGGAGATTTTCTACTGGTTTCTCATTTCTCACAAGGGAATTTGTCTCTGAATTGTTGCTGAATTGATGTGTATGTGAAAGAAATAAGAATCCAAGGCCTTTTACTCTGCCATCTTGCTGGCATCACCAACAATTTTAAAATTAGCTATTAAAATGCAAATATTCCCATAGAATTTCTACAACATATTCAAATATCTCATGCCCTGTATGGAATTCAACCTAGGCAGAAGACTTTGCTTGTATATTGAGAAAACATTCCCAAATAAGTCACCTACAATTTCTAACCTCTCAATTCTGACACACTTTGGTGTTATTAAAATGAATAAATGCCAATAGTATATTGTGTATACTATTATATTATTTGTGTATAATAGTATAACAATCACGACAGGAGTTATTGAATACTCACTATGTGCTAATCATTATGCTTCACATGCATTATATCATCTATCACTGTAACCACTCTATGAGTTTGGTACTATTATACATTTTAAAGATCAGCATCGAGAAATGAAATCATGGAAGTAAATGTGTCAAAGTCACAAAGCTAATTTTGGGAGACAGAAGTCTTAAGACTGTTTTATTTTTTAAAAAACTATGCTTTTAAATACTATTATTTAGCTTGCCTTTCAACAACTAAATATGTTTTTATCATTGACTTCTTTTTTCTTATATAATTTTTCTTTTCTTTTAGCACAGTTGCATTCTGGAAATTTTTATGTAAAGCCTCTACTACTTTCTATATGAAAAGCAAAATCAACAGAATAACTACAAAAGAAAGATTTCTTAAAAAATGTTTTTGTATATACAGTTTAAATTAGGTAAAACATGACTGCTTCCTTTGAAGTGCTCATTTCTACTATCATTTGTTCTGATTCTACGATGTGCAGAAAAGAAATGAACTTCCCTGGAATTATCACAGTTGACAAACTGTAACAGTCATTAGATATTTTCATTCCACTTATTTTCTGAAGGACTAGTCACAAATTGATCTGACCAACACATGAATTAGATAACTACAGCCTTTAGCATTTGTAGACGATCATGTTAAACTGGCTTCATATTAGAAGTAGTCATTTATGACTAAATGACTCTGAGTACTTGCTTGTGACCCATATTAGCTGGCTCATCATTTTCATGGTAGTGCTAAAGGCCAAGCAGCATCCCTGCAAAATTATCTCCATGTATTTCAAAAGTCTATAGAAGATGTGTCTCATATATTTATGAACATGTTTCATAACTAATCATGTAGTATTCATCTATTAAAAGTAAGATTAATGGCAAAACCTCATGAAGCAAGCACCTATGAATGTATGATGTGTATAATGTATATAAAGTTAATTTTTAGTATCTAAGAAACAAAAAATAAATGGTTAATAATAGAAATACATTTTTATATAGAAAGATACAGTTGTATAAGGAGAGCTATTATGCCAGAATTAAACTATGAATTCAGTGCCTAGCACATAGCACCCAAAAATTCATTATTGTTTTTATCACCATCATTATCATCATCATGATCCAAACTTGTACAGTGCCTCTTAATTAGGTTTCTTCTAACTAAAATAAAAAATAATTAGTTCTCACTGAGATTACACCAATAACAGCATAAAAGAATTTTAGGGGTACTGCCACAGTTCTGTTTTGTATATTTTAGACACATCTTGTTGATTCTCACAAAGTCTGTAGTAAGTGGATTTTGGTAGGTTAACTTTCAGAAATCATTCTTGTTTTTTCTGGATTCTGCATTTTTATGAAACAACTCAATGCCTCTATATGGTTATATACATATATATATATATATATATAAAATTCATATGTGTATGTATGTCTTTAGATATTCTTATATAATAGTGTTATATATTTCAAATATATTAACATAGTAAGAAAATTTTTATTGAGAAATTTTAGAAACACTTGCTGATGCCCATTGGCAGTCCTAAAAATAAAGCCAACTTTTGATCATTAGGCTTTCTATGCCTCTTTAAAGTAATTCTGTAAAATAGAACTATTAATGATAAGAGGGCTCAATCATGAGGTAGCTATTATGAAGCTTAATTATCTCTGTGTACTCAGGAAATTGAATAAATCAAAGCGTTACAAAACTCCAGTTCTTTTTATCTTTTCATGACCCATGTGTCTCTAGACTTTCCTGCCACCCATATGAAACTTTAATTTCCAGGGCTTAGAGAATCTCCACTAATATAAACAATGACATTTGTATAATTTAGATGATAAAAATAACCCAATGTACAAAAAACAAGCCTTCTGGAAGTTGTTACATGTTACTTAAATAAACTATCTTTTAAAGTTTTACTTATCTTGCTCCACGGAGAGAGAAGTTCAGAAAGAAAATTCAAGTACTAACTGTAAAACTATATTTAAAATATATAAGTTCAATACTGGCAATTTAAGAATATTTGATACTTTAAGACTTACTATGCTGTAAATTTTGTACTCCAGTTTTGGTTTGGGGAATCAAATAATTACTTTTGATAAGTTGGATATAGAGATATATGCATATAAGGACAAAAAGACGGAATTATAACTACAGCAAGAATTTCAAAGAAATCATAATTTTGTAGTGATAGGTCACTTTATCGTGGCTGTTTCTCATAGTTAAGACTATTAAATAATGAATTTTTAATTAGCAGTGCAGTAGATATATATATGTATGTATATATGTATATATATGTGTATATATATGTGTATATATATGTGTATATACATATATGTGCGTATATATCCGTATATATGTGTATATGTATATATGTATATATATGTGTATATGTGTATATATGTGTATGTATACATATATGTATATATGTACACATATATGTATATATGTATACATATATGTACATATATACACATATGTATACATATATGTATATGTATACATATATATAAAATGTTTAGTGAGTGAAGTTACTCAAAGCCATCTCCATAGGAATATTTATTATTATTTTCATTATGCTGCCAGAAGTCAAGTCTTTCATGGAATTTTTTCTAAATTTACCACATTATTTTTCACATAGCATTAACGATACCAAGCGTTTGTAATATAATGTTGGAGTTAGTTTTTATAAGTGTCCAAAGACCAATTGGTTTCTAGGTTTTGCTAAACTATGGTAGTTAAGGTGACTAGAATAATTTTGACTGAAATAGGAAAAAGCTTGGTGCCTTTAAACAAAATGGAGTAAAATGTTTGTGGTTTGGTAGCATAGTGTGAGTATGTTTAGTTTCCATGCTTTAAATGATTTTTGGACTCTTTTGGATGCATAGGTTCAGAGAAACTTAATGGTAGAATAAACTTATACTCAAATAATCTTCTGAATTATTCGTTTTTACCCACTTTATGAAAGTCTCTGTGAGAATTTTTAAATGGGCAATGTAAAAACCTTAGCCATTAGTTAGCTATTATTATGATATGTAAAATGGAGTGCAGTTTGCTCTTTGAGTAGAAAAAAAAAGCTATCAAGTCAGCACAAACAAAAATCTTCAAAGTGGATAATTGTTGAAAAAACAGAGTTTATTCATCAGGTTTCATCAAATTATATAATAAATAGGTTCCCAGATGCCCTTTTCTTCTATATATGGACTACACATCACATGCAACATAAACTAGGTGGCCTAATGGTAGACTGAAGAAATCAGTAAATCATCTCTTCCATGAAGATAATAAAAACACTGAAAAAATTGACAAGATCAACTTTTTTATAGTTTTGAAAGTTAACGGAAGACTTACAACAATGTGATAAATACTTATCCAAGTATTCAAGAAAATCAAAGAAATTCTGCTATGCCTTGGTAAAATTAAACTTGACATACTCACATTCTTCTTTCTAAGCTCTGTAGTAGCTTAGAAAATCAGCAGTATAACAACTACCAGAGGAGAAAGACCAAGTTTGGAACTCCACAGAACGTACCTTCTACAGATCATTGTTCCCATTTGACCTGTCTTGCAGCTCCCTAGAAAAACTCTATTAGCAAGGTATTTTTTTTTTTTTTAATGACTCAGTTAAACATCACAGCTGCCTGAACCTGAAATAATAGTTAGGGTAATCAAGAGCCAGGCCAAAAACTTAAAAAAGAAAGATCTAGAGAGCCTTTTAACATCCCTGACGTATGCAAGGAATCCTGACGTTTATGTGCATGTCTTGGTTTACATGATTTTAAATTCTCACCAGCAATGTATGAGGGTATAATTTCTCCACTTTATCACCAGCACTTGTATTTTTTGTTTTAAAAATATATCCATCTTAGTAAGAGTAAAGTGTTATCCCATTTGGGTTTGAATTTTATTTCCCTAATGATTAATGATGTTGAGCATCTCTTCACGTGCTTACTGGCTTTTCTTATCTTCTTTGTAGAAATGTCTATTCAGAGCCTCTGCTAATGTTCAATTGGGGTGTTTGTCTTTTTATTATTGAGTTATAAGGTCTTTTGTGTATTCTGTATAAGAGTCCCTTACAGGCTGGGCTTGATGGCTTGCGCCTGTAATCCCAACATTTTGGGAGGCCAAAGAGGGTGGATCACTTGAGGTCAGGAGTTCGAGACCAGCCTGGCCAACAAAGTGAAACCCCGTCTCTACTGAAAATACAAAAAAATTAGCCAGGCGTGGTGGCACATGCTTGTAATCCCAGCTACTTGAGAGGCTGAGGCAGGAGAATTGCTTGAACCCAGGAGGCGGAGGTTGCAGTGAGCCGAGATTGCGCTACTGCACTCCAGCCTGGGTGACACGAGCAAAACTCCATCTCAAAAAAAAAAAAAAAAAAAGAGTCTCTTACAAATATATCACTGATGAACATTTCTTCCATTTTGTGGGTAATCTTTGTACTTTCTTAAGGATATCATTTGTAGCACACAATTTTTAATTTCATTAAGTTCACTTTACGTGTGTATTTCTATAAATGTGTCAATCTAATCTCAGTTATTTAATTGGCTAGTGCCATGTACTAAATGTTTGTGTTCCCCCAAAATTCATATTGTTAAAACCCTAATCCCAGTGTAATGGTATTTGGAAGTGGGTCCTTTAGGAGACAATTAGGTCACAAGGGTGCAGCCTTCATCAATGGTATGCGCCCTTATATAAAAAGGTATGAGAGATAGCTAGCTTTTTCCCCATCATGTGAAGATACAAGAAAAAGTCACACTTGTCTGCGGCCTGAAAGAGCACCCCTGCCAAAACATGACAATGCTGGGCCCCTGATCTCAAACAACCAACATCCAGAACTGTTAAAAATAAATCTCTGTTATTTATAACCCACTCCATTTATGATATTTTGCTATATCAATCCAAACTGTCTTAGACAGCTGGCATATTCATAGCTTTTTCTGATGACTTTTCTTTTAATGAAGGCTGGGAGAGAACTACCCTAAGAATGAGACATCATTTCAGAGACACTAAAGTGGCTATGACAAAAAGATAGAAAATACTGTATTGGCAAAAATATTGGCAACAAATACTGTAAAAAAAAAAATAAGTGGCAAAAAATTTGTAGAAATTTAAACCCTTACACATTACTGGTGGGAATGTCATATAGTGTAGCCACTTTGGAAATAAACTGGCAGTCACTCAAAAGATTCAAAATGAAGTTACCATATGGCACAGCAATTCCACTCCTAGGTATCTACTGAAAAGAACTGAAAACACATGACCATACAAAAATTTGTACACAAATGTTTATAGAATCAGCAAATTTATAAGAGCTAAAAAGTGGAAGTAAACCAAATGTCCAACAACTGATGAATGCGTAAATAAGATATGCATACAACTGAACTGTTTACTAAACTCCTGCTTAAGCACTATTTTCTCAATAAATTATTTCCTAATATTACTATAACAAGTTAGTTTCTCCTCCTCTATTAACAACTTGAGAGCAAAGCCTATGTATATTGCTTATCTACCTTAGTCCTAAGTACATAGTAAGTACTTCATAAATGTTAATTGTTGCATTTTTGGGGTGTTATTAACAGTTGAGAAAATATAAAGCATTGTTTGCAAGCTCTTCAAGAAGAAACTGTTCATTATTTTCCTACTGGTACTGAAGGCTAACTTTCTTACTCATAAAAAGCTCCTCTACTTAATATCTTATCATTCTTTGCTTTTCAGCATATAAATGTAGAAGTTAAAATTACTTTTGTTGTGTTTCTAATCCATGAAAGAAACAAGCTGTTTTACCTAAAGTAAAATATTTAAAAGTTGTTCTCACATACTGGCAAATGTATTGTACCTAGATTTTATGCACATATATTTCTAAGCTTTTACAGAAAGTCTTACTATGACTCTTTGATTCAATAATAAAATATAAGTGAAATATGGTCAAATGCATTCTTCTAAAGAAGTTAGGAAACAAGGCCCTGAATTAGTGTTGGGAAATAAAGTGCATTTGTTTTCATTCCCTAAAGGATTTCCCTCTTTTTTCCTTAACATTATACAAAACGTTTGCGTGGGTATTTGTGGGGAGTAAAATGTTTAAACAAACTTTATATAACATAAATCTTTTGTTTATATTTTAACGATGCCAGAACGTTTTAAGTAATTTAGTTTAATAATCTTATTTTCCCTTGCTATAGAAAAAAAAATAGTGTATAAACACAAGCTAACGTCATAGTAATTTAATCTAAGCATCAAAAGCTTCCCATTAAGTTTTACAGCACAGGGTGCTATTTTATAGAATAAAAGCTACATGGACTCAAGGCAGCTCCTAGGAAGCCAGGCTTAAAATTAAAGTCACATACATCTCTGGCAGTGTGGAGGACTGTGTCCATGCCCAAAGCTATGCTCTCTTAGGAGTGATGAAAGTACAAGATACTTTTTCCTGGTTTAATGGGAGGTAATAACATAAACTCCCTGACAGTGACAGTAGCAACAAAAATAAATATGCATGTGATGGTAGAAAATAAAAATTAATCTAACTAGCCAAGAGTGCTTAATGCAAAACTTTGACTTTAAGTGACCTATGCCAGCCCAGGGACAACCCCTAGGAAACTAGGCTAAAATTCAAAAATAAGGGAGGAAAATCTGAGCACAGACAGCAGACTGCACACTGTAAAGAAAATAGGCAGTGGAGCCAAGATGGCTGAATAGGAACAGCTCCGGTCTACAGCTCCCAGCGTGAGAGACACAGAAGATGGGTGATTTCTGCATTTCCATCTGAGGTACCGGCTTCATCTCACTAGGGAGTGCCAGACAGTGGGTGCAGTACAGTGGGTGCAGCACACCGTGTGCGAGCCGAAGCAGGGCGAGGCATTGCCTCACTCGGGAAGCGCAAGGGGTCAGGGAGTTCCCTTTCCTAGTCAAAGAAAGGGGTGACAGACGGCACCTGGAAAATCGGGTCACTCCCACCCTAATACTGCGCTTTTCCGACAGGCTTAAAAAACGGCACACCAGGAGATTATATCCCGCACATGGCTCGGAGGGTCCTACGCCCATGGAGTCTCCCTGATTGCTAGCACAGCAGTCTGAGATCAAACTGCAAGGTGGCAGCCAGGCTGGGGTAGGCGCACCCGCCATTGCCCAGGCTTGCTTAGGTAAACAAAGCAGCTGGGAAGCTCGAACTGGGTGGAGCCCACCACAGCTCAAGGAGTCCTGCCTGCCTCTGTAGGCTCCACCTCTGGGGGCAGGGCACAGACAAACAAAAAGACAGCAGTACCCTCTGCAGACTTAAATGTCCCTGTCTGACAGCTTTGAAGAGAGCAGCGGTTCTCCCAGCACGCAGCCGGAGATCTGAGAACAGGCAGACTGCCTCCTCAAGTGGGTCCCTCACCCGTGACCCCCGAGCAGCCTCACTGGGAGGCACCCCCCAGCAGGGGCAGACTGACACCTCACACGGCCGGGTACTCCTCTGAGACAAAACTTCCAGAGGAACGATCAGACAGCAGCATTAGCAGTTCACGAAAATCCACTGTTCTGCAGCCACCACTGCTGGTACCCAGGCAAACAGGGTCTGGAGTGAACCTCTAGCAAACGCCAACAGACCTGCAGCTGAGGGTCCTGTCTGTTAGAAGGAAAACTAACAAACAGGAAGGACATCCACACCAAAAACCCATCTGTACATCACCATCATCAAAGACCAAAAGTAGGTAAAACCACAAAGATGGGGAGAAAACAGAGCAGAAAAACTGGAAACTCTAAAAGGCAGAGTGCCTCTCCTCCTCCAAAGGAACGCAGCTCCTCACCAGCAACGGAACAAAGATGGATGGAGAATGACTTTGACGAGTTGAGAGAAGAAGGCTTCAGACAATCAAACTACTCCGAGCTACAGGAGGAAATTCAAACCAAAGGCAAAGAAGTCGAAAAATTTGAAAAAAATTTAGACGAATGTATAACTAGAATAACCAACACAGAGAAGTGCTTAAAGGAGCTGATGGAGCTGAAAGCCAAGGCTCGAGAACTACGTGAAGAATGCAGAAGCCTCAGGAGCCGATGCGATCAACTGGAAGAAAGGGTATCAGTGATGGAAGATGAAATGAATGAAATGAAGTGAGAAGGGAAGTTTAGAGAAAAAAGAATAAAAAGAAATGAACAAAGCCTCCAAGAAATATGGGACTATGTGAAAAGACCAAATCTACGTCTGATTGGTGTACCTGAAAGTGACGGGGAGAATGGAACCAAGTTGGAAAACACTCCGCAGGATACTATCCAGGAGAACGTCCCCAATCTAGCAAGGCAGGCCAACATTCAGATTCAGGAAATACAGAGAACGCCACAAAGATACTCCTCGAGAAGAGCAACTCCAAGACACATAATTGTCAGATTCACCAAAGTTGAAACGAAGGAAAAAACGTTAAGGGAAGCCAGAGAGAAAGGCCGGGTTACCCACAAAGGGAAGCCCATCAGACTAACAGCTGATCTCTCGGCAGAAACTCTACAAGCCAGAAGAGAGTGGGGGCCAATATTCAACATTCTTAAAGAAAAGAATTTTCAACCCAGAATTTCATATCCAGCCAAACTAAGCTTCATAAGTGAAGGAGAAATAAAATCCTTTACAGACAAGCAAATGCTGAGAGATTTTGTCACCACTAGGCCTGCCCTACAAGAGCTCCTGAAGGAAGCACTAAACATGGAAAGGAACAACCGGTACCAGCCGCTGCAAAATCATGCCAAATTGTAACGACCATCGAGGCTAGGAAGAAACTGCATCAACTAACGAGCAAAATAACCAGCTAACATCATAATGACAGGATCAAATTCACACATAACAGTATTAACGTTAAATGTAAATGGACTAAATGCTCCAATTAAAAGACACAGACTGGTAAATTGGATAAAGAGTCAAGACCCATCAGTGTGCTGTATTCAGGAAACCCATCTCACGTGCAGAGACACACATAGGCTCAAAATAAAAGGATGGAGGAAGATCTACCAAGCAAATGGAAAACAAACAAAGGCAGGGGTTGCAATCCTAGTCTCTGATAAAACAGACTTTAAACCAACAAAGATCAAAAGAGACAAAGAAGGCCATTACATAATGGTAAAGGGATCAATTCAACAAGAAGAGCTAACTATCCTAAATATATATACACCCAATACAGGAGCACCCAGATTCATAAAGCAAGTCCTGAGTGACCTACAAAGAGACTTAGACTCCCACACAATAATAATGGGAGACTTTAACACCCCACTGTCAACATTAGACAGATCAACGAGACAGAAAGTTAACAAGGATACCCAGGAATTGAACTCAGCTCTGCACCAAGCGGACCTAATAGACATCTACAGAACTCTCCACCCCAAATCAACAGAATATACATTTTTTTCAGCACCACACCACACCTATTCCAAAATTGACCACATAGTTGGAAGTAAAGCACTCCAACTATGTAAAAGAACAGAAACTATAACAAACTCTCTCTCAGACCACAGTGCAATCAAACTAGAACTCAGGATTAAGAAACTCACTCAAAACCACTCAACTATGTGGAAACTGAACAACCTGCTCCTGAATGACTACTGGGTACATAACGAAATGAAGGCAGAAATAAAGATGTTCTTTGAAACCAACGAGAACAAACACACAACATACCAGAATCTCTGGGACACGTTCAAAGCAGTGTGTAGAGGGAAATTTATAGCACTACATGCCCACAAGAGAAAGCAGGAAAGATCCAAAATTGACACCCTAACATCACAATTGAAAGAACTAGAAAAGCAAGAGCAAACACATTCAAAAGCTAGCAGAAGGCAAGAAATAACTAAAATCAGAGCAGAACTGAAGGAAATAGAGACACAAAAAACCCTTCAAAAAATTAATGAATCCAGGAGCTGGTTTTTTGAAAGGATCAACAAAATTGATAGACCGCTAGCAAGACTAATGAAGAAGAAAAGAGAGAAGAATCAAATAGACGCAATAAAAAATGATAAAGGGGATATCACCACCGATCCCACAGAAATACAAACTACCATCAGAGAATATTACAAACACCTCTACGCAAATAAACTAGAAAATCTAGAAGAAATGGATAAATTCCTCGACACATACACCCTCCCAAGACTAAACCAGGAAGAAGTTGACTCTCTGAATAGACCAATAACAGGATCTGAAATTGTGGCAATAATCAATAGCTTACCAACCAAAAAGAGTCCAGGACCAGATGGATTCACAGCCGAATTCTACCAGAGGTACAAGGAGGAACTGGTACCATTCCTTCTGAAACTATTCCAATCAATAGAAAAAGAGGGAATCCTCTCTAACTCATTTTATGAGGCCAGCATCATCCTGATACCAAAGCCGGGCAGAGACACAACCAAAAAAGAGAATTTTAGACCAATATCCTTGATGAACATTGATGCAAAAATCCTCAATAAAATACTGGCAAACCGAATCCAGCAGCACATCACAAAGCTCATCCACCATGATCAAGTGGGCTTCATCCCTGGGATGCAAGGCTGGTTCAATATATGCAAATCAATAAATGTAATCCAGCATATAAACAGAACCAAAGACAAAAACCACGATTATCTCAATAGATGCAGAAAAGGCCTTTGACAAAATTCAACAACGTTCATGCTAAAAACTCTCAATAAATTAGGTATTGATGGGACGTATCTCAAAATAATAAGAGCTATCTATGACAAACCCACAGCCAATATCATACTGCATGGGCCAAAACTGGAAGCATTCCCTTTGAAAACTGGCACAAGACAGGGATGCCCTCTCTCACCACTCCTATTCAACATAGTGTTGGAAGTGCTGGCCAGGGCAATTAGGCAGGAGAAGGAAATAAAGGGTATTCAATTAGGAAAAGAGGAAGTCAAATTGTCCCTGTTTGCAGACGACATGATTGTATATCTAGAAAACCCCACTGTCACAGCCCAAAATCTCCTTAAGCTGATAAGCAACTTCAGCAAAGTCTCAGGATACAAAATCAATGTACAAAAATCACAAGCATTCTTATACACCAATAACAGACAAACAGAGCCAAATCATGAGTGAACTCCCATTCACAATTGCTTCAAAGAGAATAAAATACCTAGGAATCCAACTTACAAGGCATGTGAAGGACCTCTTCAAGGAGAACTACAAACCACTGCTCAATGAAATCAAAGAGGATACAAACAAATGGAAGAACATTCCAAGCTCATGGGTAGGAAGAATCAATATCGTGAAAATGGCCATACTGCCCAAGGTAATTTATAGATTCAATGCCATCCCCATCAAGCTACCAATGACTTTCTTCACAGAATTGGAAAAAACTACTTTAAAGTTCATATGGAACCAAAAGAGAGCCCGCATCGCCAAGTCAATCCTAAGTCAAAAGAACAAAGCTGGAGGCATCACACTACCTGACTTCAAACTATACTACAAGGCTACAGTAACCAAAACAGCATGGTTCTGGTACCAAAACAGAGATATAGATCAATGGAACAGAACAGAGGCCTCAGAAATAATGCCACATATCTACAACTATCTGATCTTTGACAAACCTGAGAAAAACAAGCAATGGGGAAAGGATTCCCTATTTAATAAATGGTGCTGGGAAAACTGGCTAGCCATATGTAGAAAGCTGAAACTGGATCCCTTCCTTACACCTTCTACAAAAATTAATTCAAGATGGATTAAAGACTTACATGTTAGACCTAAAACCATAAAAACCCTAGAAGAAAACCTAGGCAATACCATTCAGGACATAGGCATGGGCAAGGACTTCATGTCTAAAACACCAAAAGCAATGGCAACAAAAGCCAAAATTGACAAATGGGATCTAATTCAAGTAAAGAGCTTCTGCACAGCAAAAGAAACTACCATCAGAGTGAACAGGCAACCTACAGAATGGGAGAAAATTTTTGCAACCTACTCATCTGACAAAGGGCTAATATCCAGAATCTACAATGAACCCAAACAAATTTACAAGAAAAAAACAAACAACCCCATCAAAAAGTGGGCAAAGGACATGAACAGACACTTCTCAAAAGAAGACATTTATGCAGCCAAAAAACACATGAAAAAATGCTCATCATCACTGGCCATCAGAGAAATGCAAATCAAAACCACAGTGAGATACCATCTCACACCAGTTAGAATGGCAATCATTAAAAAGTCAGGAAACAACAGGTGCTGGAGAGGATGTGGAGAAATAGGAACACTTTTACACTGTTGGTGGGACTGTAAACTAGTTCAACTCTTGTGGAAGCCAGTGTGGCAATTCCCCAGGGATCTAGAACTAGAAATACCATTTGACCCAGCCATCCCATTACTGGGTATATACCCAAATGACTATAAATCATGCTGCTATAAAGACACATGCACACGTATGTTTATGGCGGCACTACTCACAATAGCAAAGACTTGGAACCAACCCAAATGTCCAACAATGATAGACTGGATTAAGAGAATGTGGCACATATACACCATGGAATACTATGCGGCCATAAAAAATGATGAGTTCATGTCCTTTGTAGGGACATGGATGAAATTGGAAATCATCATTCTCAGTAAACTATCTCAAGAACAAAAAACCAAACACCGCATATTCTCACTCATAGGTGGGAATTGAACAATGAGAACACATGGACACAGGAAGGGGAACATCACACTCCGGGGACTGTTGTGGGATAGCTTTAGGAGATATACCTAATGCTAAATGACGAGTTAATGGGTGCAGCACACCAGCATGTCACATGTATACATATGTAACTAACCTGCACATTGTGCACATGTACCCTAAAACTTAAAGTATAATAATAATAAAATAAAATAAAATAAAATAAAATAAAATAAAATAAAAAAAGAGATTAGGAAAAAGGAAAAAAAAGAGAAATAAAGTGAAAAGGACAAACAAGTTATAAAGGGATGGAGAGCTGGAAGAAAAAGAAAACAATGCAAACATTTAAACAACTAATATTATGGCCAGAGACATTTTGATTTTGAAAATATTTTAATACATTAGAATTATTAACCCCCCCAAAAAAAGAAAATAGGCTTCACAGAATTAATTCAGCCATCACTAAATAAATAAATAAATCACCAAGCACAAAAAACAACAATATTATCTTCCTGGGTGGAAAGAGTTAAGTATCCAGAGTTTCTACAATGTATTACCTAAGAGGTCCTCTTTTTAATAAACAGGTATGAGAGATTAAAGGAAAGAGGAGAATGTGATCTATGCACACAAAAAGAGCAGACAAAAAAAACTGCTTTTGAGGGGTCTAAATGTTTGGTTTAGAAATCAGATTTCATAGCAGCTACTATAAATATGCTCCCAGAACTAAAGGAAAGCAAATCAAAGCAAAAGAGGGTATGCTGACTGTCTCATCACACAAAAGATACCAAATATGAGCTATAAATTCTAGGAACCAAATAGAAATTCTGAAATTGAGAAGTACAATAACCAATAGAAAAAATTTACTAGGAAAGTTCAGTAGCAGGTTTGAGCCAGCAGAAAAGAGGATGAGTGAACTTAAAAACAGTACAATAGAAAATATGCAATCTGAAGAAAACAAAGAATAATGAACAGAGAAATATAAAGTAACATTAAGTGCACATACATATGTATAATAAGAATACTAGAAGGAGAAGAAAGGGGAAAAGGGGAAAAATAATATTTGAGGGAACAATGGTTGACAACTTCCTAAATTGATGAAAAACACTGTCTAGATATCCAAGAAGCTTAAGAACTCCAAGAAATATTTAATGAAGAAGATACCCAGCTAGATACATAATAGCCAATCTCTGAAATAGCAAGGATAATCATGAAAGCAGCAAAAGGAAAACTACTTGTCATGCACAAGAAAACTTTAATAAGATTAATACTGACATCTCATCCGAAACCATGAAGGGTAGAAGGCAGTGAGATAATATATTCAAGTGTGAAAGAAAAACATTTTAAATCAATGTTTCTATATTCAGCAAAACTATTCTGGAAAAATGAAGGTAAAATAAATACGTTTCCAGATACAGAAAGAGAGAGAGAGAGAGAATGTGTTGCTAGCAGACATCTATTTACAGTAAATACTAAAGAAAGTTCTTTAGGCTGAAAGCAAGTCACACCAGACAGTGATTAAAATCTTCATGAAAAAATAAAGAATGCCAGTAATGGTAATTATGTAGGTAAATTTAAATATGGTACAATTGCATATTTCTTATTCTTTCATTTATTAACAGATTTTAAAAGTAATTACATGAAACAATTAATAAAGAATTGTATCAAACTGACTCCACCTATAAAGACACACATAGACTGAAAACAAAGGGATGGAAAAAATACTCTCTGCAAATATAAACAGAAAGAAAGCAGGGCTAGCTATACTTAGATTTCAAGATAAAAACTATAAAAAGGGACAAAGTTCTTACATAGCAATAACAGGATCAATTCAGCAAGACGATAAAATAATTGTAAAGTTTTTTAGTATAACGTCAAAACCACAGGCAACCAAAGCAAAAATGAAAAAAGAGGATCGCATCAAGCAAAAAAGGTTTTGCATAGAAATGAAAACAATCAATAAGGTAAAAAGATAACCTACAGGCTAGCAGAAAATATTTGCAAACTACTCATCTGACAAGGGATTAATAAGCAGAATATATAAGGAGCTCAAAGAATAGGAAAAAAAACTGATTTAAAAATGGGCAAAAGATCTGAATAGTCATTTCTTAAAAGAAGACATACAAATGGCCAATGCGTATAGGAAAAAATCCTCAAAATTATTGATCATCAGAGAAATGCAAATCAAACTCAAATGTGTATCATCTCACCTGAGTTAAAATGTTTTTTATCAAAAAGACAGGCAATAACGAATGCAAAAAAGGAGAAAGGGGAATCCTCATACATTGCTGGTGGCAATGAACATTAATACAGCTACTACAGAGAACAATATGGAAGCTCCTAAAAAAACTAAAAATAGAACTACTATGTGATTCAGCAATCCCACTACTGGATATATATCCAAAAGAAAGGAAATCAATATATTGAAGAGATATCTGCACATCCATGTTTATTGCAATTTAACATTTTTTGTAGGTTGTCTTTTGTGTCTGGTCATTGAAAATTTTTCTTTATTCCTGACAATTTGGAGTTTCACCTTAATGGGCTAAGGTATACATTTACATTTATTTTTATATACCTTAATATTTGTATATTTTCAGTAAAAATGCTCATTTTTTAAATTCTAAAAAACTATGAATCATTAGCTCTTTTAAATTTGCTTCTGAAACTTCAGTTGCAAACATGGTTTTGTCACTCAACTTACTGTCTATATCACTGAACAATTTTTTCACATATTTATCTCTCTGTTCTGGATTCTAATTACACAAAGTCCCAAATTCTTTGCTACTTTTTCTGTTGAAAAATAGAGACTAATGCTCTTCCCCTTGAATCTAGACCACATACTATCACATTGTGGGGCATCCAAGGTTAAGTAATGAGAATATTTATAACTCTCTAGATCTCTTGGGAGATTTTCTCTGGGGGAACCTGGCCACCAGGATGTAAGAGGTCCAAATGCATTGAGACTATTATGCTGTTAGGAATTTCAAATGAATCATGTGAAGAGGTGATGGAGTGAGAGAGAGAGAGAAAAACCCGGACAGATCTATCATCCAGCCAGTCTAGCTCAGGCACCAGAATTGTGAGTGAAAAAAAACCATCAAAGTCACTCCAGACCCAGCAGACATGACTTGAAAAAAGAAGTAAGGACACTAGCCAATGTCTAAAACTGAGGCCTGAGATATGTGGTCTTGGTGAAGTTCTGCTAGCCATCTCCAGTCATCTGAACCACCTCGGCTTAGGCCACAGTCATTGTAGAGCAGAGATGAGCCATCTTGCTCTCTCATTCCTGAGCACACAACCCATAAAATTGTAACAAATCCAATTTTTTTTTAATGCCACTCAGTTTTGACATGATCTTTTACACAATAGGAAACCATCAACCTGCATAAAATATTAATATTCTGGTTTTATCTTTGACATGCGAAGAGATTGGAAGTTGTTACTACCATCTGTACAAGAAAAAACTGAACAAACTAAAAATCAATTACTACTCAGATCCATCCAAAACTGAAGTTGCAGGGCAAAGTGCCACCCCAATGTTTGGAGAGAGAAGTGAATCCAGAGTAACAACCGATATATGGCTACCCGAAGCAGAAACTGCTGAAGTGATACACTGTTAGAAACACTTCAACTGTGATTTTGATGCATTTCTGGAGGCTGAGTGTGGACTCTTGAGAGTAAGAAACTCCTATGTTTCTAGGAAAACTATTGATTTCATGGGATTTACCTGCAATAACCCTAATAGTTGTTTCCTCTTCCTCTTCCTCCTCCTTCTCCTCCTCTTCCTCTTCCTTTCACTTGTGTCACTCGTGTCCGTGTGAAGAGCCCACCAAACAGGCTTTGTGTGAGCAACAAGGCTGTTTATTTCATCTGGGTGCAGGTGGGCTGAGTCCTAAAAGAGAGTCAGTGAAGGGAGATGGGGTGGGGCCATTTTGTAAGATTTGGGTAGGTAAAGGAAAATTACAGTCAAAGGGGGGTTGTTCTCTGGCGGGCAAGGGTGGGGGTCACAAGGTCCTCAGTGGGAGAGCTTTTGAGCCAGGAAGAACCAGGAGAAGGAATTTCACAAGGTAATGTCATCAGTTAAGGCAGGAACAGACCATTTTCACTTCTTCTGTGGTGGAATGTCATCAGTTAAGGCAGGAACCGGCCATATGGATGTGTACGTGCAGGTCACAGGGGATATGATGGCTTAGCTTGGGCTCAGAGGCCTGACACTTCCTCTTCTTCTTTCTTCTTTATTTCTGCTTCTTCTTCTTCTTCTTCGAGGTAAATACCTGATTAATTTCTCCAAATGATCAGCTACTTATTTCAGCACCATTTATTGACAGTCCATTTCCCCCAACTGTATTAGTGCTCTCAGAACAAAGCACCACAAGTTGGCTGACCTAAACAACAGAAATGTATTGCCTTTTAGTTCTGGGTACTAGAAGTCCAAGATAAAGTTACCAGCAGGCTGGTTTCTTCTGAGGGCTATAAGGAAGAACCTATTCCATTCCCTTCCCCCAGCTTCTGGTGGTTTCCTGCAGTTTTCTGTGTTCCTTGGCTATAGAAGCATCACTTCCATTGTCTTAGCTTATTTTGTACTGCTTTATAACACACTATTTGAGACTAAGTAAATTTTAAAGAACAGAAATTTATTTCTTACTGGCCTGGAGATTGGGAAGTCGAAAATCAAGGTGCCGGCAGGTTCAGTGTCAGGTGAGGGCTGCTCTCTGCTTCCAAGATGGTATCTTAAACACTGCATTCTCTGGAGGGTGGAAACACTGTGTCCTCCCATGGCAGAAGACAGAAGGGCAAAAAGAAATAAGCTCCCTTTAACAAGCCCTTTTATTTTATTTTATTTTTATTTTACTTTAAGTTCTGGGATATACGTGCAGAACATGCAGTTTTGTTACATAGGCATATTGTGCCATGGTGGTTTGCTGCACCTATTGACTTGTCCTCTAAGTTCCCTCCCCTGGCCCCCCACCCCACAACAGGCCCTGGTATGTGCTGTTCCCCTCCCTGTGTCCATGGGTTCTCATTGTTCAACTCTCACTTCTGAGTGAAAACATGTAGTGTTTGGTTTTCTGTTCCTGTGTTAGTTTGCTGAGGACAATGGCTTCCAGCTTCATCCATGTTCCTGCAAAGGATATGATCTCATTTCTTTTCATGGCTGCATAGTATTCCATGGTGTATATGCAACAACACATTTTCTTTATCCAGTCTATCACTGATGAGTATTTGGACTGGTTCCATGACTTTGCTATTGTAAATAGTGCTGCAATAAACATACATGTGCCTGTGTCTTTGTAGTAGAATAATTTATATTCCCTTGGGTATATACCCAGTAATGGGATTGCTGGGTCAAACGGTATTTCTGGTTCTAGACCCTTGAGATATCATCATACTATCTTCCACAATGGTTGAACTAATTTATAGTCCCACCAACAGGGTAAAAGCTTTCCTATTTCTCCACAGCCTCGCCATCATCTGTTGTTTCTTGACTTTTTAATAATTGCCATTCTGACTGGCGTGAGATAGCATCTAATTGTGGTTTTGATTTGCATTTCTCTAATGATCAGTGAGGTTGAGCTTTTTTTAAAAATATATTTCTTGGCCATGTAAATGTCTTCTTTTGAAAAGTGTCTGTGCATATCCTTTGCCCACTTTTTGATGGCGTTTTTTCTTGTAAATTTATTTAAATTCCTTGTAAATTCTGGATATTAGACCTCTGTCAGATGGGTAGACTGCAAATATTTTCTCCCATTCTGTAGGTTGCCTGTTCACTCTGATGCTAGTTTCTTTTGCTGTGCAGAAGCTCTTTAGTTTAATTAGATCACATTTGTCAATTTTGTCTTTTGTTGAATTGCTTTTGGAGTTTTTGTCATGAAGTCTTTGCCCATGCCTATGTCCTGAATGGTATTGCCTAGGTTTTCTTCTAGGGCTTTTTATGGTTTGGGACTTACATTCAAGTATTTAATCCATCTAAAGTTAATTTATGTATAAGGTATAAGGAAGGGGTACAGCTTCAGTTTTCTGCATATGGCTAGCCAGTTTTCCTGGCACCATTTATCAAATAGGAGATCATTTTCCCATTGTTTGTTTTTGTCAGGTCTGTCAAAGATCAGACGGTTGTAGATTTGTGGTGTTATTTCTGAGGTCTCTGTTCTGTTCCATTGGTGTCTGTTTTGGTAGCAGTACCATGCTGTTTTGGTTACTGTAGCCTTGTAGTATAGTTTGAAGTCAGGTAGTGTGATGCCTCCAGCTTTGTTCTTTTTGCTTAGGATTGTCATGGCTATATAGGGTCTTCTTTGATTCCATATGAAATTTAAAGTAGATCTTTCTAATTCTGTGAAGAATGTCAGTGGCAGTTTGATGGGAACAGCATTGAATCTATGAATTACCTTGGGCAGTATGGCCATTTTCACAATATTGATTCTTCCTATCCATGAACATGGAATTTTTTCCCACTTGTTTGTGTCCTCTCTTATTTCCTCGAGCAGTGGTTGGTAGTTCTCCTTGAAGAGGTCCTTCACATCCCTTGTATTCTTAGGTATTTTATTCTTTTTGTAGGAATTGTGAATGGGAGTTCATTTATGATTTGGCTCTCTGCTTGTCTATTGTTGGTGTAAAGAAATGCTTGTGATTTTTGCACGTTGATTTTGTATCCTGAGACTTTGCTGTAGTTGCTTTCAGCTTAAGGAGTTTTGGGGCTGAGATACGGGGTTTTCTAAATATAGAATTATGTCATCTCTAGAGACAATTTGACTTACTCTCTTCCTATTTGAATATACTTTCTTTTTTTTCCCTTGGCTGTTTGCCCTGGACAGAACTTTCAATACTATGTTGAATAGGAGTGGTGAGAGGGCATCCTTGTCTTGTACCAGTTGCTTCCAGCTTTTGCCCATTCACTATGATATTGACTGTTGGCTTGTCATAAATAGCTCTTATTATTTTGAGATATGTTCCATCAATACCTAGTTTATTGAGAGTTTTTAACATGAAGGCATGTTAAATTTTAGCAAAGGTGTTTTTCTGCATCTATTGAGATAATCATGTGGTTTTTGTCTTTGGTTGTGTTTATGTGAAGGATTACATTTATTGATTTGTGTATGTTTGATCATAGTTTTTTTTCAATATATAAATCCTCTTATTGTGTCTTACACTGACTGTTCATGACATGCTCAGACATTCTGGTTTGTCCTGAACATCCCTCCTTTTTAAACAACCAGTTATTTTATTTTAGGATGAAATTTACCATACAAGATTCTTTCTTATATACAATTATTTCTCTGTAAGCCTTTTTACCTCAAAAAAAAAAAACCTCTTTATACCTATGACTTTCTTTACATCTTTTTTATTCCTAGTTCCTTTTATCTTGTTTTATGTATAACCTTAAATAAGCTTTGAATCAGACAAAACTTGTTCACCTTTAAAAAACACACGCACACACACACAGTTTTTTTCTCTTTAGCAAGAATGTTTTCCTACTGTCAGGCCTCTGAGCCCAAGCTAAGCCATCATATCCCCCGTGACCTGCAGGTATACATACAGATGGCCTGAAGTAACTGAAGAATCACAAAAGAAGTTAAAATGACCTGTTTCTGCCTTAACTGATGACATTACCTTGTGAAATTCCTTCTCCTGGCTCATCCTGGCTCAAAAGCTCCCCCACTGGGCACCTTGTGTCCCCCTGCCCCTGCCCACCAGAGAACAACCCCCTTTGACTGTAATTTTCCACTACTTACCCAAATCCTATAAAATGGCCCCACCCCTATCTCCCTTTACTGACTCTCTTTTTGGACTCAGCCCACCTGCACCCAGGTGAAATAAACAGTCTTGTTGCTCAGACAAACCCTGTTTGGTGGTCTCTTCACATGGACATGAGTGAAATTTGGTGCCGTGACTCGGATTGGGGGACCTCCCTTGGGAGATCAATCCCCTGTCTTCCTGCTCTTTGCTCCATGAGAAAGATCCACCTACAACCTCTGGTCCTCAGAACCAGCCCAAGGAACATCTCACCAATTTTAAATCCGGTAAGCAGCCTCTTTTTACTCTCCTCTCCAACCTCTCTCACTATCCCTCAACCTCTTTCTCCTTTCAATCTTGGCACCACACTTCAATCTCTCCCTTCTCTTAAATTCAATCTTTCCCTTCTCTTAATTTCAGTTCTTTCCTTTTCTGGTAGAGATAAAGGAGACATGTTTTATCCGTGGACCCAAAACTCTGGCGCCAGTCACGGACTCGGGAAGACAGTCTTCCCTTGGTGTTTAATCACACAAGGACGCCTGCCTGATTATTCACCCACATTTCATTGGTGTCTGATCACCACGGGGATGTCTGCCTTGGTCATTCACCCACATTCCCTTGGTGGCAAGTCAATTGTGGGGACGCCTGCTTTGGCTGCTCACCCACATTGCAGCCTAGGGCTGCTCACCCAACCCCTTCTCCCCGTGTCTCTACCCAACCCTTCTCCACTTTCCTGGGGGGCAAGCACCCCCAACCCCTTCTCTCCATGTCTCTACCCACCCCTTTTCCACTTTCCTGGGGGGCAAGCACCCCCAACCCCTTCTCTCCATGTCTCTATCCACCCCTTTTCCACTTTCCTAGGGGGCAAGAACCTCCCACCCCTTGCCTCCTTCACTATGGGCAACCTTCCACCCTCCACTCCTCCCTCTTCTCCCTTAGCCTGTGTTCTCGAAAACTTAAAACCTCTTCAACTCACACCTGACCCGAAACCTAAATGCCTTATTTTCTTCTGCAATGCCACTTAACTCCAATACAAACTTGACAATGGTTCCAAATAGCCAGAAAATGGCACTTTCAATTTTTCCATCCTACAGGACCTGAATGATTTTTGTCAAAAAATGGGCAAATGGGTCTGAGGTGCCTGACGTCCAGGCATTCTTTTACACATCGGTTCCTCCCTAGTCTCTGTTCCCAATGCATCTTGTCCCAAATCTTGCTTCTTTCCCTCCTGCCTGTCCCCTCAGTCCCAACCCCAAGCGTTGCTGAGTCTTTCCAATCTTCCTTTTCTACAGACCCATCTGACCTCTCCCCTCCTCCCCAGGCTGCTCCTCGCCAGGCCGAGCCAGGTCCCACAATGTTCTTTTCTACAATGTCCGGAATCTATGAATAACATTGGTTTCTAAGTTATGAGTTGATTTCTAACTACTGGGTTTAGGCCAGGCAGGCCCAATCCTGGTTTTGGGCCTGGTGCTGGGCTGCCTGTCTTTGGTTTTACTTTCTTGTTGTTTTTTCTTAAAACAGGTACTGAGTATAAAACAATATAAAACAATATGAGAAGGTCTCTCTTCCCTCAAGCTCTCATAACTTCCAAAATCTATTTTCTTCCTCCTACCTGATGCATATACTTTCTGCTCCCTGGCTCCTTCAGCAATAGTTACTCTTTGTTGAGTCTCCCAGTTATCACTGTTCCTGGCCCGGACTTCAGTGTGGCCTCCCATATTACTCCAGATACCACACCTGACCCCCATGACTGTATCTCTCTGATCCACCTGACATTCACTCCATTTCCCCATATTCCTTCTTTCCTGTCCCTCACCCTGAACACACTTGGTTTATTGATGGCAGTTCCACCAGGCCTAATCACCACTCACTAGCAAAGGCAGGCTATGCTGTAGTATCTTCCACACCTATCATTGAGGCTACCGCTCTGCCCCCTTCCACTACCTCTCAACAAGACAAACTCATTGCCTTAACTCAAGCCCTTGCTCTTGCAAAAGGACTCTGTCAAGAATAGAGCCCCAAAACTCACCAACCAAACAAGTAATTACACTGAACCCCTTTGGACACTCTCTAGTTGGATGTCCTGGGTCCTCCCAATTCTTAGTCCTTTAATACCTGTTTTTCTCCTTCTCTTATTCGGACCTTGTGTCTTCCATTTAGTTTCTCAATTCATACAAAACCACATCCAGGCCATTATCAATCATTCCATATGACAAATGCTCCTTTTAACAACCCCACAATATTGTCTCTTACCACAAAATCTTCCTTCAGCTTAATCTCTCCCACTCTAGGTTCCCACGCTGTCCCTAATCCCGCTCGAAGCAGTCCTGAGAAACATCGCCCATTATCTCTCCATACCACCCCCAAAATTTTTGCTGCCCCAACACTTCAACACTATTTTATGGTATTTTTCTTATTAATATAAGAAGACAAGAATGTCAGGCCTCTGAGCCCAAGCTAAGCCATCATATCCCCTGTGACCTGCAGGTATACATCCAGATGGCCTGAAATAACTGAAGAATCAGAAAAGAAGTTAAAATGGCCTGCTCCTGTCTTAACTGATGACATTACCTTGTGAAATTCCTTCTCCTGGCTCATCCTGGCTCAAAAGCTCCCCTACTGAGCACCGACACCTTGTGTCCCCCACCCCTGCCCACCAGAGAACAACCCCCTTTGACTGTAATTTTCCACTACCTACCCAAATCCTATAAAACGGCCCCACCCATATCTCCCTTCGCTGACTCTCTTTTTGGACTCAGCCCACCTGCACCCAGGTGAAATAAACAGCCTTGTTGCTCACACAAAGCCTGTTGGGTGGTCTCTTCACAGGGATGCAAGTGAAACCTACAATATATATTTATTGGAAAATACACAAATAATGAAATATCTATTATTTAATTTAACTTTATATTCTAAATTATGACCAGTCTACAAGTATTTATCCCATTACATTTACCTAATTATTTTAATTGCTTACCTAGATTATTTATGAAAACTGCGATAGTAGTTATGAAGCTGTCATTGCAAAATTATAACTGAGACAGTGAAAAAAGATTTGCCCTAACTCTCTCCATCTTGCTCTTAACCTCCAACCTGTCCTTGTTCATTCCTTGACATATGCCAAACTAACTTTGGGAGAAACTTAGTTTACAGTTTTGCTTTGAAACAAAGATGATAACAGTCTTTTCTCAAAATAAACCTCCTTATTTTCTGTGGACCAGACTGCCTAAAGCTATAAGATTAGAAGTTATAGTAATCTTACTAAATTCAAGATGCAGCTATTTTCATTAAACCTATATCAATGTCTTATTGATTAAAAATTACACAAGCAGAGATCATTCTGTTTGGGGCTCGCTTTATAGTTTTGTAACCCCTATGCCAAATTTTGACACCTTATAGTATTTGACAGGGATAAGTATGAAATTTGCTTGATTAATAAATGCAAACAAAAATGTATGCTGGCATTTCTTAAGACATTTCTAATATTACTTTACCAATAATCTTAAAGCTAGCTTATTTACTAAAGATTTTACTTAAGTTACATAAACTCAACAAAGCATTTGAGTAGTTTTTTTTTAGTATCTGATTTAAGCACTTTTATTTTTTTTAAGCCAGTTAACTAGAGCTCTTTTATATACTTTTAGTAGTGAAACATTTTGTACAAAACACATAAATACATATAAAGGCATATTAGGCATACCAATGGAAGTACATTTTATAGATTTATGAAAACCACCCTCTTTTTGTTTCCTAACTTAGACTTTCAGATTCTTGATAACCTGTTTCACAACCCAAGGCAGTTGTCAGCCAAATAGCCTTGAATTTGCACATTAAAGGAAACAACTAAGGTGAAAATCAAATAGCAAAATTTACATCATAAGGTACAGAGAGAAAAAGTCTGGTGGTGCTAGAGGGAGACACCTTTATTTTTATTTGAGCCAAATTAAACATAAAATTAAACTACACTCTTCCTTAAAACACCAAGAAGTAGTCTCTCTTGCAATAACTCTTTCGGTCAAAAAGAAAATCAAGTAAAAACAGAATTCAGTCAACTGAGAAGAAAAAGAAAATAAAATTTTGCTCAAAAAAAAAAAGACAAGGTCTTAGGAGAGAAAAACAAACAAACAAACAAAACCAAAAAGATGAAGGCCTTTTAAATACAAACATGCACGCATACACACACACACATCTTGGATGTTAGCCATTTAATTAAGCTGACTTTTAACCACTGAGTGCCTTAAAAAAATTTTTTTTTAATCTTATTACCATATTTCAGCTAGGACAAAATGCTGCTAAACAATGATCACACAAATTGTACAATTTCTGAGCACTCTAAGTGTAAGCAGAAATTAACACCAGCTGGTTGTTAATGCTAACTTTAGTCATTTAAAAAGAATTTGCAAGACAAAATCCCTAACCAGTTTCTTAGCTAGTGATGGGTCTCGGGCTGTAGACTGCTCTCTACCATCCTAGAAGCAGAAAACAACAACAACAAAAAAAACAACAAAAAACACCTCATCTTCCCTTTTGGAAGAGAGTTCAAACTCCATAAAGGAGTTACATGTCTTACATCATAATGAAAGCAGAAAAATCTTGCCTTCCTTGTGTTGGAAGGAAGTAGAACTCCAAAAATAGAGTTGTGTAGCAAAATAAACTATAGATCTCAACCAAATTTTGGGAGATCAGGTATCTCTGGAGGGGGTGCTCTCAGACCTCAGCAAATTGTCCTGTTGATTCGAGCCATAAAGTTAGCTAACGCCGGAACCAAGCACCAATAGGAGATTTGTCAAAAGTCGGGGCATCTCCATTCAGCATCCCCCCGTGGTTAACAAAATGTAAACACAGAAAATCTGATACGGATCTCAGTTAATTTAGAAAGTTTATATTACCAAAGCTGAGGATGCATATCCTTGACACAGCCTCAGGAAGTCCTGAAGACATGTGCCTAAGGTGGTTGGGGCGCAGCCTAGTTTTATACATTTTAGGGAGACATGAAACATCAATCAATATATGGCAATACCATTCTGGACATGGGAACAGGAAACAATTCATTAAAAAAGATGTCAAAAGCAATTGCAACAAAAGCAAAAATTGACAAATAGGATCTAATTAAACTAAACACCTTCTGTACAGCAAATGACACTAACAGCAAACAACCTACAGAATGAGAGAATAATTTTGCAAACTATGTACCTGACAAAGGTCTAATATTCAGTATCTATAAGGAACTTAAACAAATTTACAATAAAAAAGAAACAACCACATGAAAAAGTGGGCAAAACACATAAAAAGACACTTTTCAAATGAACACATACAGTCACCAAACATGTGAAAAACAAAGCACAACATCACTGATCATTAGATAAATGAAAATCAAAACCACAATGAGATACCATCTCACACAAGTCAGAACGGCTATTATTAAAAGGTCACAAAAATAGTAGATACTGGCAGGATTGTGGAGAAAAGGAATACTTATTCACTGTTGGTGGGAGTGTAAATTAGTTCAACCATTTTGTAAGACAGTGTGGCAATTCCTGAAAGAGCGATTCATTAAAGAAATACCATTCAACTCAGCAGTCCCATCAGTGGGTATATACCCACAGGAATATAGATCTTTCTATTACAAAGGCACATGCACACGTATGTTCATTTCAACACTACTCACGATAGCAAAGACTTGGAATCAACCCAAATGCCCATCGGTGGTAGACTGGATAAAGAAAATGTTGTATATGTATACCATGAATATTATGCAGCCATAAGAAAGAATAAGGCCATGTCCTTTGCAGGGACATGAATGGAACTGGAGGCCATTATCCTTAGCAAACTCATGCAGGAACAGAAAACCAAATACCACATATTCTCACTTATAATTGAGAGCTAAATGATGAGAACACATGGATACACAGAGGGCAATAACACACAGTGGGACCTATTGGGGGTAAAGGCTAGAGGAGGAAGATGATCAGGAGAAATAACTAATGGGTTAACTAATGGCTTAATACCTGGGTGATTAAATAACCTGTACAACAAACCTCCATGACGTAAGTTTACCTATATAACAAACCTGCCCATGTACCCAAAACTTAAAATAAAAGTTAGGTTAAAAAATAGAAATAAGTCAAATGTGTTCTGAAATCACATTTAAATTAAACTAGAAATCAATAACAGAAAGATGGCTGAAAATTATTGAAATATTTTAAAATTAATGAACACATTTCTAAATATCACATGAACCAAATAAGAAGTCTTAAAAGAAATTTTTAAAATATTTTGTAGTTAGTTAAAAGGAAAATACAACTTTTCAAACTGTGTAGTATTAAGTGATTAGATGGAAGTCAGTAGCATTAAGGGCAGGTGTCAGAATGAATGAAATATCTAAAGTCAATATTCCAAGTTTCCACCTTATAAAATCCTAAAAAGAAGATAAATTTAAGCTTAAAGTATGCTGAAGAAAATAAATAATAAAAATTATAACAGAAATCAATAAAATCAAAACCACAAAACGATGGACACTATAAATGATATCAAAAGAGCAGTTACTTTTAAAAGATCTTTATTAACAAATCTGAATAAAGAAAATGTGGTACCTATACACCATGGAATACTATGCAGCCATAAAAAAGAATGAGGTCATGTTCTTTGCAGGAACATGGATGGAGCTGGAGGATAAAGATAAAGATCTTTTTCTTGAACAGATTTTTATTGATTCATAAAGATCTTCTCAAAGAAAAGCAAACCAAGTAAAAAAGAGAGAAGACACAATTACCAACATGAGAAATTATGTTGTGTTATCACTATTGATCCCATGGTCATTAAAGGGATAACATGTCAATACTAAAACAACTCTTTGCTTGCAAATTTTGTAACATAGGTGAAATGAAATTATTTAAAAGGCATAAACTACCAAAATGCACACAAGTAAAAATAAATAATATGAATAGGCTTATATAAGTATTAAAACATTGAATAAGTAATAAACTTGCAAGAACAAAAGCACCAGTCCAGTATATTTTCACTGGTAAATTCTACCAAATATATTAGAAAAAAATATTATCTTTTCTCCACCACATCTTCCAAAAAAGAGAACCAGAGGAAATATTTTCTAATTCATTACATGAAGCCAGGATAACCATAATGATAAAACCAAGTAAAGACATTACAAACTGATTCTAAAGCTTATACCAAGAAGCAAAAGACCTTATATGGCATCACATTACTTAAAAGGAACTTAAAAGCAATAAAGTTGGGAGACTGTCACTAGCTGATTTCAAGGATTATTATAAATCTTCAGTAATTAGATCAGTGTGGTATCAGTGAAAGTACAGATACATAGGGCAATGGAACAAAATAAAGAGTCCAAGCCTTGGTAATGGTGGATGCCCCTCCCCACACCAAGCTCGACTGTCCCAGGTTCTGTCTTCCTGGCATTCCAGGTGCCACTGGGCTATGAAAAATAACTCCTGCAGCTAGCTCGGTGTCGGCCCAAATGACCACCCAGTTTTGTGCTTGAAACCCAAGACACATGCACGTGTATTTTTATTGCAGCACTGTTTACAATAGCAAAGACTTGGAACCAACTCAAATGCCCAACAATGATAGACTGGATAAAGCAAATGTGCACACATATATACCATGGAATACTATGCAGCCATAAAAAAGGATGAGTTCATGTTCTTTGCAGAGACATGGATGAAGCTGGAAACCATCATTCTCAGCAAACTAACACAAGAACAGAAAACCAAACACTGCATGTTCTCACTCATAATTGAGAGTTGAACAATGAGAACACATGGACACAGGGAGGGGAACATCACCCACTGGCGCCTGTCCGGGGTTGGGGGGCTAGGGGAGGGTTAGCATTAGGAGAAATACCTAATGTAGATGTAGATGACGGGTTGATGGGTGCAGCAAACCACCATGGCACATGTATACATACGTAACAAACCTGCACGTTCTGCACATGTATTCCAGAACTTAAGTATATATATATATATATATATAAAGAGTTCAGACATAGACCCACACAAATATAGCCAACTGAACTTTGACAAAGGAGCAAAAATAATATTCAATGGAGAAAGGATAGTTATTTCAACTAATTGCTCTGGTAGACACAGAAGTTATGGCTTTCACAAGAGTACTTTAAAATAGATTCTGAACCTAAATATAATAGTACGAATCTTCTACAAGAAAACATGAAAGGAACTGTAAGTGAGCTTGGTGATAAATATTTAGATACAACAATAAAAAATGATGAAAAGAAAAATTGAAAAGCTGAACTATAGCAATTAAAAACTCCTGCTTTGTGAAAGACTGTTAGAATAAAAAAGATATTTATTTTATCTAACTGTATGGTTAATAGCAGAGTAGAGTGACTATATTTAACAATGATTTATTATGTATTCAAAAATAGCTAAAGAAAAGATTTGGATTGTTTTCAACTCAAAGAAATGATGAATGTTTGAGGTGATGGCTATCCTAAATATCCTAATTTGAGCATTAGATATTATATGCATGTATCAAAACATCCCATGTACCCTACATATGTACAATTATTATGTATCAATAGAAATAAATAAATAAATAATGAAAAGACAAGTCATAGACTGGAGAAAATATCCGTCAAACATCTATCTGTGAAAAGACTTTTATCCAAAATATACAAAGAACACTCAATATTCAGCAATAACAAAACAAACAAACCAATGAAAGAATGAGCAGGTATCTGAGCAGATATTTTGCCAAAGAAGATATACAAGTATAAAATAAGCATATGAAAACAATCAACATTCTTTCTAAGTAGGGAAAATCAAATTGAAAGAACAATAAGACACCCCTACTCTTAGAATGGCATATATATATATATATATATATATATATAGAGAGAGAGAGAGAGAGAGAGAGAGAGACAGACAGACAGACAGACAGACAGACTGACTCACTCTGTCGCCCAGGCTGCAATGCAGTGGCATGATATCTCGGCTCACTTCAACCTCAACCTCCCAGGTTCAAATGATTCTCCTCCTTCAGCATCCCGAATAGCTGGGATTACAGAAACGTGCCACAACACTTGGCTAATTTTTTTGTATTTTTAGTAAAGACAGGGTTTCACCACGTTGGCCAAGATGGTCTCGAACTCCTGACCTCAAGTGATCCGCCTGCCTCTGGCTCCCAAAGTGCTGGGATTACGGGAGTGGGCCACCGTGCCCAGCTCTAACATAATTTTTTTAATCTCTGAAAATATTAAATGTTGGTGAGCAGATGAAGTAACAAGAGCTCTCATTCATTGCTGATGGGAATCTTAAACAGTCCAGCCACTTTGGAAGACAGTTTGGTATTTTCTTCTCAAGTCAAACATAGTCTTACCAGCAATCATGTTCCTACGTATTCGTTTGATTTAGACAATTACGCCAATACAAAAGCCAGCGTGTGGATGATTATTATAGTAGCTTTAATCATAATTGCTGAAACTTGGAAATAGCCAAAATGTCCCTCAGTAGGTGAACGGACAAATAAACTGTAGTATATCCATACAATGAAATACTCTTTAAAGGAAAGAATGCATTAACGATCAAGCTATGTCAAATTATGGAGGGAACTTACGTGTATGTTTAGTGCTCAGTGGAAGGAAGCCAGTCTGAAAAGGCTGTGTACTGGATGATTCCAATTATATTACATTCTGAAAAAAGGCAAAATTCTGAAGATGGTAAATAGATCAGTGTTGTCAGGGGCTCGGAGATCATGAGTGGGTTGAATAGGTGATGTAAATAGGATATTTGAGGGCAGTGAAACTATTCTCTATGATTCTGTAGTAGTAAACATTTGACACTAGGCATCTGTCAAAATCCACTGGATGTTACAAAACAAAGAGGCAAACAGTGTATGCACATTACAAAATTACCTTTCAGGAGGTCAGGAGATTTTGGGATGTAATGGCAACTCTGATAAAATAACCTGACTGTTCTGTATTACAAATGTATGAACCAACCTCATGGAAGAAGCGAGAGAAAAGAGTGTTGAGCAAAGTAACTTTGAAAATAAGTGGAATCTGTAGAAAATAAAGACAAAAATGAACCAAGAAAAGTACGATACTTTAGTTGAGAAAGTTGTTTCCTGTGAGAGTAGAGGCTAACAATTCTGAAAACCACTCTAAATATATACTAGGATTGACCAATTAGGTAAATGCATAGGGAATGGTAGGAGCCAGTTTTCTCAATGTTACAGTGGGTGTTTACAGATAAACGAGAGATAAGACTAGAATGCCTCCTATGGTAGTGCACTGAAGTTGGGGACATCAGTCTGAACACATATTTAGCTTAATAGAGAGACAAATGATTACATAAAGAAATATTTCAAGATATATGTTGTGTTGCTATAAAGGAATAACTGAGGCTGGATAATTTATAAAGAAAAGAGGCTTATTTGGTTCACAGTTTCACAGGCTGCACAAAAACTATTGTGCCCAAATCTGCATCTGTTGAGGGCTTCAGGTTGCTTCTACTCATGATGGAAGGCAAAGGGGAGCCATTGTGAAGGGATCAAAATGGGAAGAGAGGAAGTAAGAGAGAGAGAGGGGAGGTGCTAGGCTTTTTTTTTTTTTTTTTTTTTTTAACAACCAGCTCTTACAGGAACTAACAGAGTAAAAACTCCCTCCCTCCCTCCCCATCAGGGAGGGCATCGATTTATTCATGAGGGATCTGCCCCTATAACCAAAACACCTCCCATTAGACTCCACCTCCAACATTGAGGATCAAGTTTTGAAATGAGGTTTGGTGAGACAAACAACCAAACTATGGTATGTGTGTATATATTGGTTAGTATACATCTATTTATTTACTTCTTCTATTAGCTATGATCACCTAGAATCGATAATACTTTTGTACTAAAGAATATACCATATGTTCTCATTTATAAGTGGGAGCTAAATGATGAGCACATATGGACATAAACATAGGAACAATAGATACTGCGTATTACTAGAGCAGGGAGGGAAGGAGGAGGCACATGTTTAAAAAACTACCTATTGGGTACTATGCTCACTACCTGGGTGCAATATGCCCATGTAACAAACCTGCACATGTATACCCTGTAACTAATATAAAAGTTGAAATTAAAAATCATATAAATCTAGCTAGCCCACATCTTCATTTCCAAAACCACTCTCCAGCATAAGGACCTGGGGCTCCTTGGAAAAATGGATGATTCTAGGAATGAATCGGAAAACATACAAGATAATCCTGGAGCATCTTGTAATACAATAAAATAAGCAAATGCAAAAGAAAAACACAACACAACAAAACAAAAAAATCTAAATTGATAACGGTATGTCAAATGGGTACAAGTATAGACTGAAACAGCTCCCAATAGACAGAGGGGGAACATATTGAACAATAAAGTACTACTGAATTAGAACTCAAAGTATAAAATAAATATTAATGAGTCCATCCCACTATAAACAAAATATTCAATCAGTAAATAGATAGAAGAGAAATCTTCCTGCAGAATGATTTCATGTAATTTATGGAGATATTCCACTATCAAGATGGTAGAACATAACCCCCCACTTTTTAAGTTTTGGCTACATATGGTCACTTCCTTTAAAAGGCTATAACATTGAAAGAAAGAAAAAAATAAATAAGCATGACTTTCCGTTGGAAGAACCTGCAAAAAAATTACTTCAGGTGACCAAAGTTAATATCAACAGTGATAAGTCACGTAAGTATGTACTCTTATACTATGTGATGAACGTGGCACTTTACCTCTTTAGTCTTTTTCCCAAAAGAAGATTATCCCATCTCCAACCTAAGAAAACATTAGATACATTTCAACTGAAGGGAATTCAATAAAATATCTCTCCTGTACTCCTCAAAATTGTCAGGGTGATCCAAAAACAAAAAGAATATTTAAGTAACTCTGAGTCCAGATAAGTCTAGGGAGACATCACTAAATTTAATAATATATACCCTGGATGATATCCTGGAAGAGCAAAAGGACACTAAGTTAAAACCTAAGTAAACCTAAATGAAAAGTAGACTTTAGTTAATAATGTCATTATTATGATAGTTCATTAACAGTAACAAACATACCACGTTAATGTGAGCTATTAAAAATAATGAAAACCGTGTGTGGGAATTCTGTACTTTGTAAGGAAACTCTGTACTATGTTTGCAATTTTCTGTAAATCTAAAACTTGTACATTTTTAAAAAATTATTAGGAAAAAACTGTTTCTTCCTTTCACTTGTACTCTTTTCTGCTGTGTCTTATCTACAATTTGTCCACTGACTTTTAAAACATTTCTAATGAACATGCATTTAATTTCAAGAATTTCTAATTTTTCACGTGCACCACTTCCCATTTCAATTCATGCTTATTTTTAACCCAAAGGAGTGCAATGGCGCACTCTCAGCCCACTGCAACCTCCACCTCCCAGGTTCAAGCGATTCTCCTGCCACAGCCTCCTGAGTAGCTGGGATTACAGGCATGCACCACCACGCCCGGTTAATTTTGTATTTTTAGTAAAGACGGGGTTTCTGCATGTTGGTCAGACTAGTCTCAAACTCCTGACCTCAGGTGATCCACCCGAAAATTAAAATCGGCCTCCCAAAGTGCTGGGATTACAGGCGTGAGCCACTGCACCCGGCTCATTTTTGTTTTATGCATAAAATTTTTTCATTTATCTCCTTGAACCTTGTAGTCATCTTTAAGTTAAAAATGATGTTGGATTTATTTATAATTTCCATGTCTTCCAAAGTTAACACATTTTCTATATTTTTCACTTTATGGTATTTTTAATGTTAACTTTTCTTATGTGTTTGCAAGTCGGTTTGCTGATTTACTTATAGTAGGACTATTTTATTTTCTTATTTTTTCATGTGCTCAAATCTCCCTGACAAATGGACTTGATATTGCTTTAATTTGATCCCTAGAACAGAACCACAAAGGAAAATATTATCATAATTGATTTCTTGTCACAGATGCAGTCTCTAAGCCAGCAGGCAGCTTAGCCGAGCTCCTAGCCGCAAGGATGGGCTTCTCAGTTCCAGCATCCGCTGTTAAACCCTAGCTTCAGTATGAGCTTATAGCTTTTTCTTGGTATCCTTTCACGGGTGGTTGATTCTTGCCTATATTTTTGGTTGAACAAGCATTAGTCCCCGCACATGTTTGCTGCACTATTAGCCTCTGCTATCTCTTGGAACTTAAATGTGTGGTTGTCTTGACTTGCTCCCCTTCACTAATCTCATAAAGTTCTCATCCTATCTTCCTTACCACTTTGTATTTATGTTTGATTTCCATTTTATAGAGATTTTAATTTTCCTTTTGAGTATAAGTCTTTTAATGTTATATAATTTTTAGAGATTTGCTCATTGTTTTGATCAGCAGAAGCATTTCCAATTTGGATATATAGTATCATCTAGGCCAAATTGTTATAAACTTTTTTTTTATCAAGACATAAATCATGCATTCAGTTGAGTTTGGGAACTATTTGTACTCACTTAAATTCTGAAAATAAAGCAGTATTTAATAAAAAATAGGTATGGAGAGTGAATCACAAGGTTATTTCACACTACCATAAATTTGAGATGTCAAAAAATATGCATAAATATGGGTTTGGTTACATTGTATTCATATAAAGAGATAATCTTCATTCATTCTTTCATAACTATTGAGGACTATTTAATGACACAGGAGTATTTTAATAAATATTACATGACTAATTGATTTTCCTATATTAACACAAACTTGCGTCCCTATAGTTAGCCATACTTGGTGATGAGATAATTTTATATCTAGTTGCACTAGATTTGGTGTTATTTTATTAATGAGTTTTTCCTGCATATTAGTGAGGAATACAGGCTTATTTTATATATATATATATATAACATAAATATATATATATAACATATATATAACATATATATAACATATATATAACATATATATATAACATATATATAACATATATATATAACATATATATAACATATATATATAACATATATATAACATATATATAACATATATATATAATTTCTTAGAATATCTTTGGTTTTAGTTTCAGAATAATAATTTCCTCATAAAATGAGTAGGAAAGTAATCTTTTCTATTTTGGAAAGATTTTCAAAAGATTGATGCTATTTCTTTCTTAAACATTTAGAATTCAACAGTAAAGCATTTTTAAGTGGCTACATGGCTATTCTAAAGTTTTATTTATTGTGTCAATTTTGATAATTTGTATGTTCCGCACATGGCTTTCAATGACCCCTGCGCTTCTTGGTATTCACATCCCTGTGGTATTCTCATTCCACTATTGTAGGCTAGAGCTAGTAACTTTCTTCCAATGCATAGACTATGGCAGGAATGATGGAATGTTTCTTCTGTAATTAGACTAAAACGATTTTCACCTCTCTCTTGCTGGTATTCTCTCTCTCTGAGTCTTCTTCTATGTTTGCTGTTACAGAGAGGGCTTCCTGGCAAGGAGGAGCTTTCAGCCAACAATCAGCAAGAGACTGAGCCCCTCTGTCTAATATTCCTCAAGAAACTGAATCCTGCTACCAACCACCTGTGCAAGCTTGGAAGCAAATACTTTCTCAACTGACCCTTCAGATGTGAGAGATTACAGAACCTGGCTTGACAGCTTGGTTGTGGCCTTCTGAAGGGCTTTGAAGCAGAGGACCCAGATAAACCATGTCCAGATTGCTGACCCATAGACATTACAAGATGATAAATATGTGTTGTTTTAAGCCACTAGATTTTTGAATGGTTTGTTACGTAACAACAGACAATGAATGCGACTTATTTAGTGGATCTTGTTCACTTCCAGTGTTAGTGATTTCTGATTGTTTTTAAATTTAATTCTGTTTCTTCTACATACTGTTGTTTTAATTTTCAATTCTTTAATTTTTTAAAACTACTTTACCAATGTATGATTAGCATACAGTCCACTGCACATATTGTAAGTATACAATTTAATAAGTTTTGACATTTTATTTATTCTATTGATATTTTATTTAATTATCTACATAAAGGATCAAGGAAAAAAGCCAGTTTTACTTCTTTCTCATATGACTTCGTTTTTTTTTTTTTTTTTTTTAGCTTATTACACTGTATAGGACCTCCAGTAAAATGTTAAACTGATAGATAACAGGAAACATCCTTGCATTTTTCCTGATCTAAGAGAGAAAGTATTCATTCCTTAATCATAAAGTATAATGCAAGCTATGCATTTTTTGGTATATAACCTTTATCAGGTTATTTCTATTTGTAGTTTGCTGAGATGTTTCTATCTGCCATTAATATTAGATTTTATCAAACATGTTTTCTGCATTTATCTGTCTTCAACTTCATTATTTACTGTTCTGTATCTAGTGTTTTGATAAGCCCTTTGAAAGAATTGTCCACCTCGTCCAGGAGCTCTTTTAACATAGATGACTTACCACCACCTTGCTCTGCCTCCCCCTAACTCGTTTTAAAAATATCTTTACTTTGTAGTTCATCTTTCTTGCTCTCATTGTTATAATGATAGCATTGTTTTGCTGCAACTGTTTATATCTTCCAGAAAGACAAGGCCAAGTTCCATCTGATCTCATTCCTGTTCTTTCATATCTAGTATAAATATTTTCTGTATTTATTACTTATCAACTCCTTTATTTTCTAGGACCCTCACTCATCATATAGATCTGGCTGTTCCTGAGAAAGTTTCATATTTCTCTTTAAAATATGGTGTGTTTTGAAACAAGCAATACATATTGTAAAAGCATCTTGAATAGAAAAAATAAGATTTTTACAGGGAGGGCCTTCATTAACTAAATATTACCTCAAACTTATACATTCATTGTGCATTGTGTGCATGTGGGTGGGTTAGAGAGAGAAAGAAAGACAGAGAGAGAGAGGATTTGACGACTTAATCAAATTTTCTAAAATGTTCTTTGTGGTTTTTTTCTTGTAACATAATAAATTTAAATAATTCAAGTGAAGATATAATCTGAGTAGTTCCTGAGACTACTGTGTTGATTACTAACTGTCAAAATCAAAATTCTTGATTTGATTACATGGTCAAAATCAATCCATGAGCTAAACATTTAACAATCAGTACAGCTTCTAAAATTCCTATGTACAGGTCATGGCCTTATTTAGGACAAGGGACTTATATTTAATCCACATAGACAAAGAAAACTGGTAACAAATGGTCATCTTTATCTAAGTAATATTTTAAAAGATATCTCAATAAGAAAGATGTTTTCCAAATTACCTGGAGACTTATAAAATATTATAAATGAAAAAATGGTGAGAATAAAAATAAATTAACAGACTTCCTTCTTTCAGGATTGTTTTTTTTCCTTGCTTTTGTACATTCTAGATTTATAGACGTGACTGAATAATTAGAAAAGGGAAATGAGGAAAATATCCAGAAAATGTTGACTGGAAGAGAGCCCTCTGTCAATTTGATGATTTTCTACAATTATATTTGACTAAAATTAATATAAACAAATCAATTGGAATTTTGAGCATTTTTTTTGTGTGTTAACGTGTACTGTAGATGCAGGGCTACCTCCAGTGTATTTTTCTTTATTAGATAGAAGATGAGTCCTCACACATTTAAAGCTCATAGCTAACACTTGGCTTTGGGAGTTTTTTTTTGTTTTTTTTTTTTGTTTTTTTTTTTTAGCAGATTTTACTTGATGTGAAGACAGCCAAATATGCAAAAAAAAAAAATTGTCAGCATTTTCTGGTGCTGCTTCTAATTCTTAGTAACAGTAGGATGAGGCAAATTTAGAGTGTCAACGAGGCACTTTTGATGGTCTTTTTTGGTTTAGATAATTTCAGTGCATGTAAAATCAATGTAGGCAACAAATATTACTTTGAGTCAGATTCGTACATTTAAAATTTGGTTATGTTTTGATGCACCAGTAATTTGGGGGAAATTAAAATTTTAGATTTTTAATAGGCCCTCAAATATTTATATGCAGCTGCAGAGGTCCAGGTTATTGGGTAAAACAAGTTTGAAAAATGCCTTTACATATTGGTCAATAGCATTTATTTTCTTCAATGAATAGGCAGGTAACACTTTTGCACAAAAGGGTAAGGAAATATGTTTTTAGAAATATATTTTAATGCAAAATATGGAAACTGTTTAATGATTGTTTTGTTTCAACACTTAAGATAATTGAGGTAGGATATTCTCAATGACAAAATGCGGCCAGTACTTTACCTCTAATGTATCTAACTATATAGATAGATGTGTGTGTGTGTGTGTGTGTGTGTGTGTGTGTGTGTGTATAATCAACAGACATTTTATGAGTTGCATCAAAATGTCAGCTTTAGACGGATTAAGCTGACTTGCAAAGAATAAGACTCTTATATTTATTCTGTTCAAACAATGCACTGCAAATCCCTTCCATGTAATCTAAAAGAAGGATTACCGTAAATGAGAAAACTTTATAGAAAGACTCAGTGGAAATCTTAAAAGACATTCTTTATCTCCAAAACATTTCAGTGTGCCAAAAGTTACAATAAACACGGATTTAGTGTAACCATAGGACAATAAAATAAAGTGAAAATTTTGAATATCATGAAAAGACTCTGGTACCTAAAAGGAACAGTACCTTCAACTTAAATGTTGCAAAATATATCAGAAACCAAGTAGCCCCTTAAGCATCTCATAAGAGATAAAAATCAGAAAACAAGCAGAATCCTTTTATATAAAATATACAGATTTAAACAGAGGCAGAAAAAAATACACTTTAGTAGTACGTGTTAAGTGTACACAGATTTGGAAAAATAGATCACATTTTGAATGCTGTTTCTTTTTTCTTTACTTCACTTGAAAGCAGAGAAGAAACTATCATTTCTTGAGTACCCTCCATTGTGCCAGAAACTGTGTTGGGTAATTTAAATGCATTATTTTACTTATCTCAAGAAGTTTTTACTTTAAAATGAACTCAGCCTACAATGTTAAAAGGAAATATTGTATTCCTACTACAATCAGGAAAACTAGATGTAAAAAATAATCAGTAAATATTTTCATAGATGTATATTCACAGAGTGCATGTTTAGCCTTGCATTTCTACTTACGTATCTAAAATACTAACTTTTCAAAAATTTTCCTAGCAGTATGACATGTTTCAGAGAGAAAATCTTTACAAGTTGGCTACATCACGTTTTCTGTCTGAGCATCAGAAAGAAATGTGTTTAAGGCAGTGTATCTTGAATATTTACCGTTATTTAATGCCGCTGTAGTGCTCTTCGGATATAAAAGAGGAATGAGCTATAAACTTGATGTTATATAGTGAGTATAAAAAGAATGACCCGTGCTAAATGAAAAGTGATCAACATAGCATAATATTTAAATGCTAACTTTGATATAGTAAAATATCAAAAGTATTTTTTAAAAAATTTATGGGTTGAACAGGAAGGAAAAAAAACAATTCATGGAAAGGTATGGAAACTGACACGATCATCTTTGCAAAGATGGAAAGAGTATTTCCAGTTAAGGCGATAAGAAGTGCCAAGAGATAAAAGCAAGAGTAAATGTCACAGGCATTAGGAATTAGCAGATGATGTTTCCAGGAATAATGGGCACATGCTGGGGAGTGGCAGAATCTAAGATTGGGTGGGATAGGTAAAGCTAGCTTAGCAAAGTATAATCAATCTTATGCTTAAAAGCATGAGGAAGTTTAATTTTATTTGTAGCTATTATAGGTCTTAAAGTAGAGTGAAGAATAATGCATGACACTCCACAAAAACAATCTTTAAATCTTTATGTTTGTCACAGTGGGGGTGCATAAATAAACTGTCTTCAAGGTGATCAGTTAAAAAACTATCGCATTTCTTCAGACGTAAGATAATGTGGAACCTAGGTTGGGATGATGTTAGTAGTAGCTGAGAAAAAACTATGCTTCAAAAAGTATTCAATTAATGAACAACTTTTATAATATTTTAGATCCATAGAAATGAATAGGTTGAAATGAAGGATGAATAAAAATGCCATAGACAGAAATTGTATAGTGAGAAAAACAACAGTTGACTCTTGTCTGGTTCCCTCACTAATTACGTATGTAAACCTAAGCAAGTCACATTCACTTTGAGGTTTGTTTTTCCTTCTGTAAAATGAAGAGATTGTATTAAACCTCTTAAACATTCTGTAAATACTTGAACGGAAACGATAACTAAGGAATAATGATAAAAGAGTTTTATAATTGATAATGTTGTATGAGGTGAAGATGGCACATCCATGTTTGATACATGGGAGAAGAAAAGATTTAATGCTTAGGTGTTAAGGTCATCATCAATTCTGTGCAATCGTGAGTCATAACAATAACCATGCTATCAACTACAGTTAGGTGAACAGACTAGATCTCAAAATACAAACATCACAGATATATATGTGGATAAACAATTAAACAAAACCATTATTCTTTATGCTTCTGACATCCTGGTATATACTCTCTTTGGGCTAATTACTATTTAACAACCTAGTTATTTATCGAGTCAAAGGAAATATTAAGGGATTAGGTAAAATGTAAAAGTTTCAGGAAAAATAGTCAGGTGAAGCAATTTTTATTCCTTAAAAATGAAGTCATCAAATTATGGATGCAGATCTTATTCTTTTTTTTTTTTTTTAACTTTTAAGTTCAGGAGTACATGTGCAGGTTTGTTACACAGGTACATTTGTGTCATGAGGCTTTGTTGTACAGATTATTTCATCACCCAGGTATTAAGCCTAGTACCCACTAGTTATCTTTCCTAATCCTCTACCTCCCACCCTTCACCCCACTCTCCAATAGGTCCCAGTGTGTGTTGCTCCCTTCTGTTTCCATATGTTGTCATCATTTAGCTCCAAATTATAAGTGAGAACATGCAGCGTTCGATTTTCTGTTCCTGAATTAATTTGCTAAGAATAACAGCCTCCAGCTCCATCCATGTCCCTGCAAAGAACATGATTTTGTTTTTTTATGGCTGCATAGTATTCCGTGGTGTATATTTACTACATTTTCTTTATCCATTCTACCATTGATGAGGATTTAGGTTGATACCATGTCTTTGCTATTGGGAATAGTGCTGCAATAAACATACACAAGCATATGTCTTTATAATAGAAAGACTTATATCCCTTTGGATATATATCCAGTGATGGGATGCCTGGGTTGAATGGTATTTCTGTTCTTAGCTCTTTGAGAAGTTTCCATACTGTCTTCCACAATGGTTGAACTAATTTACACTCCCACTAACAGTGTATAAGTGATCTTTTTTTCTACAGCATTGCCAGCATCCGTTACTTTTTGACTTCTTATTAATAGCCATTCTGACTGGTGTGAACTGGTATCTCATTGCAGTTTTGATTTGCATTTCTCTAGTGATCAGTGATGTTCAGCATTTTGTCAACTGATTGTTGGCTGCATGTATGTCTTCTTTTGAAAAGTGCCTGTTCATGTTCTTTGCCCACATTTTAATAGGATTGTTTTTTTTCTTCTTGTAAATTTAAGTTCCTTATAGGTGATGGATATTAGACCTTTGTTAAATGCATAGTTTTCAAAATTGTTCTCCCATTCTGTAGACTGTCTGTTTACTTTGTTGATAGCGTCCTTGCCTGTACAGAGTCTCTTTTGTTTAATTAGATCTGATTTATCAATTTTTGCTTTTGTCATAATTGCTTTAGGTATCTTTATCATAAAATGTTTGCCCATGTCTATGTCCTGAATAGTATTGCCTAGGTTGTCTTCCAGGGCTTTTACAGTTTTGGGTTTTACATTTAAGTCCTTAACTCATCTTGAGTTCATTTTTGTACATGTTGTAAGGAAGGAGTCTAGATTTAATCTTCTGCATATGGCTAGCCAGTTATCCCAGCACCATTTATTAAATGGGGAATCCTTTCCCCATTGTTTGTTTTTTTGTCAGGTTTGTGGAACATCAGATATTTGAAGATGTGGGATCTTATTTCTGGGTTCTCAATTGTGTTCCTTTGGTCTATGTGACTGTTTTTGTACCAGTGCCATCCTGTTTTGGTTACTGTAGCCCTGTAATATATTTTAAAGTCAGGCAACAAGCTTCCAGCTTTGTTCTTTTTGCTCAGGATTGCCTTGGCTATTTGGGCTTTTATATTGTTCCATATGAATTTTTAAATAGTTTTTTCTTGTTCTGGGAAGAATATCAGTGGAAGCTTAATGGGAATAGCCTTGAATCTATTCATTGCTTTGGGAAGTATAGCCATTTTAAAGATATTGATTCATCGTATGCATGAGCATGGGAGGTTTTTCCATTTATTTGTGTAATCTCTGATGACTTTGAGCAGTGTGTTTTGTAGTTTTCCTTGTATAGAACTTTCATCTCCATAGTTAGCTGTATTTCTAGGTATTTTATTCTTTTTGTGGAAATTGTAAATGGGATTATCTTCCTGATTTGGCTCTCAGCTAGACTGTTGTTCGTGTATAGGAATGTCAGTGACTTTTGCACATTGATTTTTGTATCCCAAGACTTTGCTGAAATTGCTTATAAGCTTAAGAATATTTGGGGCTGAGACTGTAGGGTTTTCCAGCTAGAGGATTATGCCATCTGCAAACAGGGACAGTTTCAGCTCCTCTCTTGCTATTTGGATGCCTATTTTTTTCTTTCTCTTGCCTGATTTCCCTGGCCAGGACTTCCAATGCTATGTTGAATAGCAGTGGTGAGAGAAGGCATCCTTGTCTTTTGCGGGTTTTTAACGAGAATGCTTCCAGCTTTTGCCCATTCAGTATGATGTTGGCTATGGGGTTGTCATAGTTGGCTCTTATTATTTTGTGGTATGTTCCTTCAATTACTAGTTTCTTGAGAGTTTTTAAAATGAATGGATGTTGAATTTTATCAAACGTCTTTTCTGCATCTATTGAAATAATCATATGCTTTTTTTCTTTAGTTCTGTTTATGTGATGAATCACATTTATTGATTTGCATATGTTGAACCAACTTTGCATCCCAGAGAAAAAGCCCACTACATCGTGTTGGATAAGTCTTTTTATGTGCTGCTGGATTCGATTTCTCAGTATTTCATTGAGGATTTTTGGATTGCTGTTCATCAAAGATATTGGACTGAAATTATCTTTCTTTGTTGTATCTCTTCCAGGTTTTGGTATCAAGATGATGCTGTCCTCACAGTTAGTTAAGGAGGAGTTCTTCCTCTTCAACTCAATATTTTGGAATAGTTTCAGAAGGAAAAGTACCAGCTCTTCTTTGTACATCTGGTAGAATTCTGCTGTGAATCCATCTGGTCTGAGCTTCTTTTGGTTGGTAGGCTATTTATTACTGACTCAATTTCAGAGCTTATTATTGGTCTGTTCAGGGATTCAGTCTCTTCCTGGTTCATTCTTGGGAGGTGTATGTGTCAAGGAATTTGTTCATTTCTTCTCTATTTTCTAGTTTATGTGCATAGAGGTGTTTGTAATATTCTTTGATGGTTGTTTGTATTTCTATGATATCAGTGGTGATACCCTTCTCATTTCTGATTGTGTTTAGTTGAATCTTCTCTCTTTTTAACTTTATTGGTCTAGTTAGTGGTCTATCTATATTATTTATTTTTTCAAGAAGCCATCTCCTGTATTTGTTGATCTTCTGAACATTGTGTGTGTGTGTGTGTGTGTGTGTGTGTGTGAATCTTCTTCAGTTCAGCTCTGATTTTGGTTATTTCTTGTCCTCTGCTAGCTGAGGTATTTGTTTGCTCTTGGTTCTCTAGTTCTTTTGGTTGCCATGTTAGGTTGTTAACTTGTAATCTTTGTCACTTTTTGATGTGGGCATTTAGTGCTATAAATCTTCCTATTAATAATGCCTTAGCTGTGTCCCAGAGATTCTGGTATGCTGTATTTTTGTTCTCATTAGTTTCGAAGAACTTCTTGAGTTCTACCTTAATTTTATTGTTTATCGAGAAGTCATTTCAGAGCATGTTGTTTAATTTCCATGTAATTGTATGGTTTTGAGTGAATTTTTGAGTGTTGAATTCTATTTTTTTGTGTGCTGTGGTCTGAAAGACTGTTATAATTTCAGTACTTTTACATTTTCTGAGGAGTGTTTCACTTCCAATTATGTGATCAAATTTAGAGTATGTTCCACGTGGAAGTGAGAAGAATATGTATTTTGTTGTTTTTGAGTGGAGAGTACTGTAGATATCTATCAGGTCCATTTGATCCAGTGCTGAGTTCAGGTCCTAAATATCTTTGTTAATTTTCTGTCCTGATCTGTCTTGTCAGTGGGATGCTAAAGTCTCCCACTACTACTGTAGGATTGCAATTCCTGCTTTTTTTCTATTTTCCATTTGCTTGGTAGATTTTTCTCCATCTCTGTATTTTGAGCCTATGTATATACTACTGCATGTGAGATGTGTGCCTTGAAGACAGCATACCAATTGGTCTTGGTTCTCCATTCAGCTTCCCATTCTGTGTCTTTTAATTGGGGCTTTCAGCCCATTCACATTTAAGGTGAGTATTGATATATGTGTATATAATCCTGTCATCATGTAGTTAGCTGGTTATTTTGCAGACTTCTTCATGTGGTTGCTTCATAGTGTCACTGGTCTGTATCCTTCAGTGTGTTTATGTAGTGGCTGGTAACGGTCTTTCCTTTTTATATTTAGTACTTCCTTCAGGAGTTCTTGTAAGGCAGGTCTGTTGGTAATGAATTCAATCAACATTTGCTTGTCTGAAAAGGATCTTATTTCTCCTTTGCTTATAAAGCTTACTTTGGCCAGATATGAAATTCTGGGTTGGAATTTCTTTTCTTTAAGAATTTTAAATATTTGCCCCCAGTCTTTTCTGGCTCATAGGCTTTCAGCTGAGAGGTCCACTGTTAGTCTGGTGGGCTTTTTTAAATTTTTCTTTCATTTTGACCTTGGAGAATCTGATGATTCTGTGTCTTGGGGATAATCTTCTTGTGAAGTATCTTACTGGGGTTCTCTGCATTTCCTGAATTTGAACATTGGCCTCTCTAGCTAGGCTGGGGAAGTTCTCCTGGGTGATATCCTGAAATATGTTTTCCACATTGGTTCCACTCTCCTCATCTCTTTCATGGACACCAGTCAGTCCTAGTATTTGTCTCTTTATGTAATCCCATATTTATCAGAGGTTGTTTGTTCATTTTCATGAACATTTTCTTGAATGCCTATCATTTTTTTTCTGAAAGCCAGCCTTCAAGATCTGAGATGATTTTCTCTGCCTCATCTATTCTGTTATTAATACCTGTAATTGCATTGTAGAATACTTGTAGTGTGTTTTTCAGCTCTATTAGGTCAGTTACATTCTTCTATATACTGGCTATTTTTTCTGTCAGGTCCTACAATATTTTATCATAATTTTTAGCTTTCTTGCATTGGGTTACAACGTACTCCTGTAGCTCAGTGAAATTTGTTCCTATCCATAGTTTGAATTCTGTTTCTGTCATTTCAGCTATGTCAGCCTCAGCCATTTCTGAACCCTTGCTGGATATTTGATGCGGTCATTTGGAGGAAAGACACTCCAACTTTTTGAATTTTCATTGCTCTTGTGCTGAGTCTTTCTCGTCATTGTGGGCTTATCTACCTTCAAACTTTGAGGTTGCTGGTCTGTGTGTGTGTGTGTGTGTGTGTGTGTGTGTGTGTGTGTGTGTGTGGGGTGGGGTGTTTCTTTTATCGTATTTGATGACCTTGAGGGTTTGGTTATGGTATAAGGTGGATTCAGCCAACTGTCTTTGTTTCTGGGAGGTTTTAGGAACTAATGCTCAGCTCCCAACTCCAAGACTGTGTTCTAACTCTGGGGGACTTGAATTGGGCCCCAGTGTTTTTCTCCATCCCCTCAGGGTTTGGAGTCCACTGCACTGCGGGGGGCCTAGGTACAACAGCTACAACAGAGCTCTAGTGGATACAGGGGTGGCTGCTTCCCTGTGGGCATTCACCACAGTGGTGGGGGCAAAGAAGCTGGATGGAGAGTGGTGTGTCCCTGCTGGAGATTGTGCGTGCTGTTGCACTGGAGCTGGTGTTAGCTTGGGGTGGGATTCTGGTGGGTTCATGTCTGGGTGCCTTCTCTGTGTCCTGCAAGAAGGAGTGCTAACTCAGGGTGTGAGAGGATCCCCTATTCTCTTCGTAGGGTTAGCATAAGGATGGGGTGCTGGTGGGGGTGGGGCTTTCAGGCTCTGTGCCTGCCAAGGCTCTGTCTGCAATGTCAGTCAGCAGGGGTTGGGGGGAATACTGCATTTCCACGTGCTGGATTGGCAAGTAAAGCATAACCCATCCATGCAGACCTGCACCAGCAAAGTGATGTGGGAGCTTGTTGTGGGCTCATGGGAATCTGCAGTATGGGGAGGGAACGTGCAGGCTAGGGAATGGCAGTAAGAGCTGTCTTGCTGGAGCTCTCCATCAGTCAGGAACAGAAGCTATGTTGTGGGCCCCAGGGTACCCGAGACTGCCCTGTAAGCAAGCGTGGTCAGACTGGGGCCCGGGGAGGCCAACAGACCAACGAGTGCTCAGGTTGGACTAGCCATAGCAGATCCTATTCTAATCAGACATCTACATGATGTTATGGAAGCACAGAGGAGGGAATGTCTAACTATTGTGGAAATGGGGACTGTTGAAAGCTTTAATGGGAAACTTCAAAAAATTTTTTTCTAAGAATATTGTAAATATAGCTTTCAGAAAAAATAAGAATGGGAAAACTTAAATCACGTGTCAAAATTGTATCTGTTCTTTATCTCATATAGCTCTCAGAAGAATATTTTACATATATATATAAAAAATATATATATATATACATATATATTCTTTGTTATCATATCTTAGAGAGCAATGAATCTTACTGCAAAGCATGCTTCAGGCTTCTATGTACCTAAGAGTATGTGTCATTGCACTGTGGTAGGAAAATGCTGGTTTCTTTACTGGGCCCACGTTTTCTTTTAAAAACTTATAGAAATAGTTGGGTGGCTCTGTGGTACACACACCCTTCAAAACCTGGTTATTTAAAAATTTCTTCTGCAATCTGGATATATATCAGCTGATGGCACTTGACCTTGTTAAATGACTTACTTAGCTAGACTTCAGGTCTCCGCAGTACTGACAACACACATTACCCAATTAGAAAGTGGTTGAGCTCTAAATGCTAACTTGCACATTACTTGTTTGGAGATACGGCATTTTCCTTTAGAAATAATCTTCTAAATGATAAGTTTCTTACACAGTTATCTTTGAAAATATATTTAACCTATGTGTTCATTGAAATATATTTATATATTTATCTTAAGTATTTTTTAAAAGCTTGCAATTCTAGCATTTAATTCAAATTGTAAAATAATAAACCAGTATTTCATTTAGCTTGGTATAGAAAGATAAATGAGTCAAATTACAGGATGATGAGACTATAGATACAGATTTTTAGGAGAATATAAATGGGTTTTCTGGGCAAGTTGGCACTTTTGGAGGTTTTAAAGATTAAGTTATTTTAAATATTTACTGCCTTATTAAATAATATGGGTTTTCTTTGCATTGATAGCTTAAAAGACAAACAGTTCTATTTTGTACTACAAAAAGAATCAAGGGAAAGAACATGTAATAGACTGCAATGCATTATGATAATCCAGCCAGAAAAAGAGATGATTGGGAAGATTTTAGAACCAATCCTACTAAAGTAAGACATGAGACAAAGAAGCTCATTATTTCTTACTCCATTTAATTATGTAATGGAAGCCCTAGCTGATACATTAAGGCAATAATATAAATTAAAAATGCAAGAATAAACAACATAGCCTTTATTTGTGGATGATGTAATTGTCTACATAGCAAATCCATGAGAATATAAAAATGATTATTAACACTAGAAAGGCAATTCAGCAAAGATGCTAGATACAAAAAATGTAGAAATATGACATTCTTTCGATACAAAAACAAAAACAAAGTGATTACAAGGTAAAATAGAATGAAGTAATTTTATTTTTGGTAAACAATAACTACAGGTATCTTTTTAAAAAATAACAAGATTTGCAAGATTTTTATGGATAATATAACAAAATTTTATTTAAAATCATGAAGGAAGATCTGAGTGTATTAAAAATGTAGTAAAATAGCTGAAAGAATCAAATCTATAAATTTTTAATTATTCCTTCATTAAACTAAATATTTAGTAAGAGTATAATCAAAACTTCCAATAGGTATTCTTGTAGAACTTGACAAGTTACTATTAAAACAACAGGGAGCCAATAATAGCCAAAACACTTCAAAAGAAACACAAGTTGGCATACTATATATGTCACCACGGTACTGAGTACATCTAACACAAAAAAATACGTAAAATGAAAGAGGAAAAATGTAATTTTTTAAAATGAAGAATATTAGTCAGCTGTGGAACAGTTCTAATGGGCTCAATGTAAACGTGTTTTGTGTCCTGTAAACAAGGGAGGGGACAGAAAAATATTGAAAGAATAACTATTTTTTTCCAAAACTGTGATAAAAACTATAGTACCACACATTCAAGAACCTCAAAGAACCACAAGCACAAGAATCATGAAGAAAATGACACGAAGGCATATCACAATCAAATTGTCAAAAACTGAAAAGAGTATCTTGAATGTAGCAAAAGGACAAAGGACCTGTTATGTATAGAGGAACAGAGAGAAGTATTGAAACAGTTTTGCCAGCAGAAATATTGCAAGACAGAAGATGATGGAGTGACATCTACAGAATACTTAAAGTAAAAAAAAAAAGCAATGTAAACCTAGAAAATCATACCCAACAATAACATCTTTCAAATTCCAAGTTGCAATAAAGAATTTTAAAAACAAAAGTAGAAAGAATGCATCAGCAACAAGCTACGTTAGAAGACATGATGTAGAAGTCTTTCAAGGAGAAAGGAAACAGTACCCCCTAGAAATCTGGTAGGAAGCCAGGAGGAACATCAGAAGTGGTACCTATACAAATAAAATGCTAACAGAATACATAAATATGTGAGGTTTTTAATCATTATTTCAATCTGTTTAAATAATACTTGTTTGATTAAACAACAATAGGAATGTGCTGTAGGAGTATATGTGCATGTGTGTGTATGTGTGTGAGTGTTTGTGTGTGTGTGTGTGCGTTTCTCCTCAGGAGTGGAGACATGAAAGTATATTACTTTGAGATTTTATACTATACGTGAAGTTGCGTAATATGATGAAAATAGATCAAAGTTAAAAATGTATGCTATAAACTGAAAGCACTAAAATTACAATGAAAACAAAAGTATAGTTAAAAATATAACAAAAAGGATAAAATAAGCAAATAAAGGAGGTATATGACGTCTACAATAAATGCAGTTAAAATTTAAAAGACACAGATAGGTTACAAGTAAAATCATAGTAAAAGTGATACCATGCTATCTAGTTAAAAGAAAGATAGGAGGCCATACTAACATCATAGAATACTGCCACAGATAATAGAGGACATTGTATAATTGTTAAGAAGTACATTCATCAAGAGAACATAACAATCCTAAATTTTTATCAACACTGCCCCTAAACACAGAACTTCTAAACACTGGAAGAAAATAGTGACTGAAATCCAAAAGATATAGACAAAAATCAAAATTACATTGGAAATCTAAATACTGTTAATAACTGATAAAGCAAGTAGTCAGAAAATCATAAAAAAATTGCATATTTGGTTAACAGTATTGACCAACTTGACATAATTGATACTTACAGAACACTCTGAACAATAGAATGCATATCCTTTTCATGTTATATCCCCACAATAGAATTAAATTAGAAATCAGCAATATAAATTTATCTAGAAAAATCACTAAATATTTGAAAAATAAAGAACATACTCTAAATAATCCATGGGTCAAAGATAAAATCAACTACAATTCTAATGTATTTAGCAATGAAAAAATAAAAACATAATTTATTTGAATTTGCAGAATGCCACTGTATTAGTCTATTCACATGCTGCTAATAAAGACATATTTGAGACTGGGTAATTTTTAAAGGAAAGAGGTTTCATTGACTCACAGTTCCACATGGCTGGGAAGGCCTCACCATCATGGCTGAAGGCAAATGAGGAGCAAAGTCACATCTTACATGGTGGCAAGCAAGAGAGCTTATGTAGAGGAACTCCCTTTATAAAACCATCACATCTTGCGAGACTTATTCACTATCATGAGAACAGCATGGGAAAGACCCGCCCCACGATTCAGTTACCTCCCACTGGGTCCATCCCACCATGACACACAGGTATTATGGGAGCTACCGTTCAAGATGAAATTTAGGTGGCGACACAGCCAAACCGTATCAGCCACTAAGGCAATAGTTAGTGAGAAAAATTTACAGCACTAAATTTTGGTATTAGAAAACTAGAAGGGCCTTCAATCAGTGATCAAAATTTCCACCTTAAAAAAAACCTTTAAAAAATAAATCCCAAGTTAGCAGAAGAAAGGAAATAGTCATGATCAAAACAGAAAAGCAATAGAGACAATTAATGAAACCAAAATCCTGTTCTAGAGAAACCTCTAGCCAGACTGGGAATGATTGCAATATACATTCTTATTTAATTTTACACACACACACACACACACCACAAACTAGGATAAATTTTCTATTACTAGCTTTGGGGAAAATGGACAGTTCACTCACTAGTTTTACAACCATCTAAACCATCAAACCATTAAGGGAAGGTTGCTCAATGTAAAATGCAATGCCACTTGTGAAAAATGTAAAATCACATGCAACATTTTACCAGCTGCCACAAATTAACTTGCTTAAGTATGACTACAGGCGGAATTTGTGATAGAATGATAGACGTGTCTGCTCAGGATATGATGGGAAATCTATCAGAGAAAAGGTTGCCTGTAAGTTTTTCTCAGTACATCATGAATCATGACTTTATAATGGGTATTGGGAAATCAAGAGGCTTTAGGTAATAGTACTGAAAACTAATTAGCTTGACATTTTAATAAGGTTTCACCAAAAACTGTGGCAAAATTATGAGAATGATGACATTAGCCTGGATTAATTCAAGACTGACAAAGGCATATTATTTTCCTTTCCTGATAATAGGAAGTCAGGGGAAACAGTTGCATCGAAACCCAGATGACAGATATATTACCAATTATCAGTGAGCCTGGGTTGTTGTTGTTGTTTTTTACCAACTATATTGCCCAATCTGTAGTGCAGAGGCTATTCACAGGCATGATCGATTTTAATGCACTACAATCTCAATCTTCTGGGCTCAATGAATCCTCTTGCCTCGGACTCCTGAGTAGCTGGAACTATAGGCACGTGCCACCATGCCCAGTAGGATCCTGTTTTCTTCATCAGTAAATCTCAGTGTAAGAGGCAGATGGTATTGAAGACAGGAGATATGCATTATCACTTGTAGAATACAGTGTAAAGTTTCACATTTAGATATATATTCCTAATTTGGAAAGATACTTCAATTTTGTTAGGTAATGGTGTAGGGACAGATTTTTTAATGAAAAATTCAAAGTCTAAATTTCCATTGACTGGCAAAGCCAGTGCCAAAAATTTGTATAGTTATCCAGATGTCCACCTATTTTATGCTTGTAAAGGTAACATGCATAGTATTTGATATGATTTGTGAAAACCTGTACATTCTGAGTTTGGTGATTTTAAGAATGCTATACCAGCACCAAAAATCTGCTGTTTTATTCTTTCCACTTGATTATTATAATTATTAATGGCAAATACTCTTTGCTTTTAACAAGCTTTTACTTTTTTAATCACATTGTCTTTGATCAGGTGATCTGCAACACATTTATATTTCATCAGTTACTTTTATTTTCTAAAATTAGTAATTCTAACCCATATGTCCCTTCAAAGATTCTTATTTGCCATATAATCAACTCTTTATATCAGCCTGTTTTCCCTCCTTTTTATTTATCTCAAAATTTTAACTCAGTATCTTAATAGCTGACCCCTGTTGATTGTCACACTGCTTCAGTTTTGGAATGACTTTCATGCCAAAGTTTCCACATTTCCCTATGGAAATTTTTTTTTATCAGTAGGCACATGTTTGTGACAACTCTATCAAAAGAAATTAATCACACAACCTCCAAAGCACCACTTACATTATGACTTGGTTTTCTTCTGACATTTTATGAATTTCTAAAAATGCCTTTTCTCTCCCCCAGAGTCCTATGTCATTTTACTGTTTTCACTGTTGTGTCTATTGTCTTCACAAAATAATGTGCTTCTTTTAAGTTCAGGGGTACACGTGCAGGTTTGTTATATAGGTACACTTGTGTCATGGGGGTTTATTGTACGGAATATTTTGTCACTCAGGTATTAAGCCTGGTACACATTAGATATTTTTCCTGATCCTCTCCCTCTTCCCAACATCCACCCTCCAATAAGCCCCACTGTGTGTTGTTTCCCTCTATGGGTCCATGTATTCTCATCATGTAGCTTCCACTTATAAGTGAGATGTGGTATTTGGTTTTCTGTTCCTACATTAGTTTGCTAAGGATAATGGCCTGCAGCTCCACTGATGTTCCTGCAGATAACATAGTCTCATTCTTTTTTATGGCTGCATAGTTTTCTATGGTGTGTATGTACCACATTTTCTTTATCCAGCCTACCATTGATGGACATTTAGGTTGATTCCATGTCTTTGCTATTGGGAATCGTGCTGCAATGAACATCCAAATGCATGTGTCTTTATAATAATATTTATTTGGGTATATACACTGTGATGGGATTGCTGGGTTCAATGGTGTTTCTGTTTTTAGCTTTTTGAGAAATCACCATTCTGTCTTACACAATGGTTGAACTAATTTACATTCCCAGTAACAGTGTATAAGTTCTCCTTTTACTCCACAACCTTGCCAGCATCTATTATTATTTTACTTCTTATAAATAGCCATTCTGAACAGTGTGTGACAGTATCTCACTGCAATTTTGATTTGGATTTCTCTAATGATCAGTGATGTTAAGCATTTCATCATCTGATTTTTGGCCATGTGCATGTCTTCTTTTGAAAAGATTCTGTTCGTGTCCTTTGCCCACTTTTTAATAGGGTTGTTTTTTACTTGTAAATTTGTTAAAGTTTCTTATAGATTCTAGATATCAGGCCTCGGTCAGATGCATAGTGTGCAAAACTTTTCTCTGATTCTGTAGGTTGTCTGTTCACTCTTTTGCTGTACAGAAGCTCTTTAGTTATAGCCCATTTGTCAATTTTTGCTTTTGTTCCAATTACTTTTAGTGTCTTCGTCATGAAATCTTTGCTTGTGCCTATGTCCAAGATGGTATTGCCTAGATTGTCTTTCAGGGTTTTTATTTATGTGTAGGGTTTTAATCCATCTCGAGTTAATTTTTGTATGGTGTAAGAAAGGGTCCAGTTTCAATCTTCTGCATATGGCTAGCCAGTTCTCCCAGCAACAATTATTGCATGGGGAACCCTTTTCTCATAGCTTGCTTTTTTCAGTTTTGTTGAAGATCAGATAGGTGTAGGTGTGGGGCCTTATGTCTGGGTTCTTAATTCTGTTCCGTTGGTCTATGTGGCTGTTTTTGTACCAGTGCCATGTTGTTTTGGTTACTGTAGCCCTGTAGTATAATTTGAAGTTGGGTAGTGTGATGCCTTCAGCATTGTTCTTTTTGCTTACCTTTGCCTTGGCTATTTGTGCCATTTTGTTTTGTTTCATATGAATTTTAAAATAGATTTTTCTAATTCTGTGAAGAATGTTAATGTTAGTTTAATAGGAATAGCATTGACTCTATAAATTGCTTTGGGCAGTATGACCATTTTAACAATATTGATTATTTCTATCAGTGAGCATGGAAGGTTTTTCCATTTGTTTGTTTCATCTCTGATTTCTTTGAGCATTGTTTTGCAGTTCTTTTGGTAGAGATCGTTCACCTCCCTGGTTAACTGTATTCCTAGGTATTTTACTCTTTTTGTGGCAATTGTAAGTGGGATTCCTGGTTTAGCTCTCATCTTGAGTGTTATTGGTGTATAGGAATGCTAGTAATTACTGCACACTTATTTTGTATTCTGAGACTTTGCTAAAGTTGTTTATCAGCTTAAGAATCTTTTGGGAAGAGAGTATGGGGTTTTCTAGACATAGGATCATGTGGTCTGCAAACAGTGATAGTTTGAATCCTCACTTCCTATTTGAATTCCTTTATTTCCTTCTATTCCCTGATTGCCCCTGGCCAGGACTTCCAGTAGTACATTGAATATGAGTTATATGACAGGGTATTCTTGTGTTGTGCCGATTTTCAAGAGGAAAGCTTCCAGCTTTTGCCCATTCAGTATGATGTTGGCTGTGGGTTTGTCATAGACGTCTCTCATTATTTTAAGGTGTGTCCCTTCAATACATAGTTCATTGAGTTTTTAATATGAAGGCATCTTGAATTTTATGAAAAGCCTTTTCTGCATCTATTGAGATGATCTTGTGTTTTTTTGTCTTTAGTTCTGTTTAGGTGATCAACCACATTTATTAATTTAGGTATCTTGAACCAACCTTGCATCCCAAGAATAAAGCCTAGCTGATCACGTAGATAAGCTTTTTGATGCGCTGTCGCATTTGGTTTGCCAGTCAGTGTTTGGTTGAGGATTTTTGCACTGATGTTTATCAAGAATACTGGTCTGAAATGTTTTTGTTGTTATTTGCCAGGGTTTGATATGAAGATGATGATGGCTTCATAGAATGAGTTGGGGAGAAGGCCCTACTTCTGAATTGTTTGAAATAGTTTCAGCAGGACTGTACCAGTTCTTTCTACATCTGGTAGAATTCAGCTGTGGCTCCATCTGGTCCTGAACTTTTTTTGGTTGGTAAGTTATTGTATTCATTCATTCTCACAATGCAATAAAGACATAGCTGAGACTAGGTAATTTATAAAGAAAAGAGGTTTAATTTGCCCACAATTCTGTAAATGTATAGGCTTCTGCTTCTGGGGAGGCCTCAGAAAACTTACAATCATGGTGGCAGGTGAAGGTGAAGCAAGCATGTCTGCACATGGCCAGCAGAAGAGAGAGAAGCCAGAGGTTCTACATTTTCAAACAAACAGATTTTTGCCTGGGTGAACTCTATCCTATGATAGAACGATCTCCCACCAGACCCTCTTGCAACACTGGGAATTACAATTCGACATGAGATTTGGATGGGGACACGGAACCAAAACATATCATTTTTCCCCTGGCCCCTCTCAAGTCTCACGTCCTTCTCACATTTCAAATCAAAATTATGCCTTCCAAAGAGTCTCCCAAAGTCTTAACTCATTCCAACATTAACTCAAAATTCCAAGTCCAAAGTCTCATCTGAGACAATGCAAGTAGTACCTTCTGCCTATGAGCCTATAAAATAAAACCAAGGTAGGTACTTCCAAGATACAATGAGGATTCAGGGATCAGGTAAATCCTCCCATTCCAAAAGGAATAAATTGGCCAAAACAAAGGAGCTACAGGCCTCATGCAAGTCTGAAGCCCAGCACGGCAGTCATTATATTTGAAAGGCCCAAAATTATCTCCTTTGAATCCTTGTCTGGCATCCAGGGCACACTGATCGAAGTGGTCAGCTCCCAAGGCCTTGGGAAGCTCTGCCCCTGTGGCTCTGCATGCTTTCATGGGCTGGTGTTTAGTGCCTGTGGCTTTTCTAGATCCACAGTGCAAGCTGTCAGTGGATCTGCCGAGAGAGAGAGAGAGAGAGAGAGAGAGAGAGAGAGAGAACACAAAGGAACTGCACACTTTCAAACAACCAGATCTTATGGGAACTCTATCACGAGAACAGCAAGGAAGAAGTCCACCCCCATGATACAATCACCTCCCACTAGGTACCTCCTCCAGCACTGGAAATTACAATTTGACATGAGATTTTGGTGAACTCATATCAGCTATTTATTACTGACTCAATTTCAGAGCTCATTGTTGGTTTGTTTTGGGATTCAATTTTTTCCTGGCTCAGTCTTGCACGAGTGTATGTGTTCAGGAATTTATGTATTTCTAATAGATTTTCTTTTTTTTTTTTCTTTTTTTTTTTTGAGATGGAGTCTCACCCTTTCACCCAGGCCAGACTGCAGTGGTGCTATCTCGGCTCACTGCAAGCTCCGCCTCCCAGGTTCACGCCATTCTCCTGCCTCAGCCTCCTGAGTAGCTGGGACTACAGGCACCTGCCACTGTGCCCGGCTAATTTTTTTTTGCATTTTTTTTAGTAGAGACGGGGTTTCACTGTGTTAGCCAGGATGGTCTTGATCTCCTGACCTCGTGATCTGCCCACCTTGGCCTCCCAAAGTGCTGGGATTACAGTTGTGAGCCACTGCGCCTGGCCATAGATTTTCTAGTATGGGCATAGAGGTGTTCATAATATTCTCTGATAGTTGTTTGTATTTCCGTGGGTCAATGGTAATATCTACCTTGTAATTTCTAATTGTGTTTATTTGAATCTTCTCTCTTCTTTTTTATTCTAGCTAGGAGTCTATCTCTTTATTAATTTTTTTTTCGGAAAACCAGCTCCTGGATTTGTTGATCTTTGGAATGCTTTTTCATGTCTCAGTATTCTTCAGTTCAGCTAATGTGCCTTTATTATAAGATGTCCGCAAGTGACCTAAGCAATAGATAATGTAAATTATTGAATTTGCTAGATTCTTTTTACCATTTTCATGCAGGATTGAGGCAGTAATTTCTTTGAGCACTTAGCAAGAAATGCCTGGCCATTTTCTTTCACGACTGAAGCTTATGACCTTCAGCTATTAAACTTGGAAGTTTCAGTCACTCTACTACGGCTATGGATTGCTTTGAGATCTAAATTCTCCTATGCTCTATGAAAATAAATCTATCTCTTTATGATAAAGAAAAAGCTTATCTTTTGAGATAGATACTGCATTGTTCTAGTGACCCACAGCAATGTTGTTCCATGGCTTCCCCTAAGCAGGTTTGACATCTAACTATCATGAATCTTTGATGGACTATGTAGCTACTGTTGCCCCTTCCTCTATTCAAGGATTACACAAAAGGTGAAACTCATCCCACTGGTTACTAAATAAATGCCACATTTCATTCTGAGTTTATCTCATACTATATTTTGTGAAAAAATGATCAGGAAAATGATGACTTTGTTTATTGTTCTTCCTAAAAAATGGGATTGCTTGCTCACTGCAAACACATACTAGCTGAAAGTTTCTAAGGGCCTCTGAAAGAAGTGAAGGCCATGATTATAACAACCCTTAAGAGTAGCAACACCTCATTATTTAATGCTTAGTTGAGCAGAGAGTTAGAGACCCAAATGTTTATTCATCTCCACCTCCATGTGCCCAAATGAAAAAAGAAATACTTTATCTTCCAACAGAGATTTTGTGTGGGTGGGAGAGAGGATACATATGTGTCCTTCTGTCTCTCTCTATCTGGCAAATGGAGGTGAGACTGAAGACCAAAGATTTAGAAAAGGGCAGTGGTGTTTAGGAAAAACAACATCAACCTGACACTTTCAAAGAAACATAAGAAAAAGTTCCTCCTGTTGAAGATTATCGGGGGAACCCACCACCAATGATTCAACGTGAGTTCTTTTCTATTTTCCTAGGTGTCGGCTGGTCTGAGAAATAAAGGGAAAGAGTACAAAAGAGAGAAATTGTAAAGCTGGGTGTCTGGGGGAGACATCACATGTCAGCAGGTTCCATGATGCCCCCCAAGCCGCAAAACCAGCAAGTTTTTATTAGTGATTTTCAAAAGCGGAGGGAGGGTATGAATAGGATGTGGGTCACAGAGATCACATGCTTCACAAGGTAATAAAATATCACAAGGCAAATGGTCACAGGACCGGGGCAAAATTAAAATTGCTAATGAGTTTGGGGCACGCATTGTCTTGATAACATCTTATCAGGAGACAGAGTTTGAGAGCAGAAAACCAGTCTGACCAAAATTTATTGGGTGGGAATTTCCTCATCCTAATAAGCCTGGGAGCACTACAGGAGACCAGGGCTTATTTCATCCCTTATCTACATATCTACAACCGTAAAAGACAGACATCCTCAGAGTGGCCATTGTAGAGGCCTACCCCTAGGAACACATTCTCTTTCTCAGGGATGTTCCTTGCTGAGAAAAAGAATTCAGTGATATTTCTCCTATTTGCTTTTGAAAGAAGAGAAATATGGCTCTTTCTGCCCAGCTCTCAGGCAGCCATACCTAATGGTTATCTCCCTTGTTCCCTGAACATTGCTGTTATCTTGTTCTTTTTTCAAGGTGCCCAGATTTCATATTGTTTAAACAATTTGTGCAGTTAATGCAATCATCACAGGGTCCTGAGGTGACATACACGCTCAGCTTACGAAGATGATGGGATTAAGAGATTAAAGTAAAGACAAGCATAGGAAAACACAAGAGTATTGATTGGGGAAGTGATAAATGTCCATGAAATCTTCACAACTTATGTTCAGAGATTGCAGTAAAGACAGGCGTAAGAAATTATAAAAGTATTAATTTGGGGAACTAATAAATGTCCATGAAATCTTCATAATTTATGTTCTTCTGCCATGGCTTCAGCCGGTCCCTCCATTTGGGGTCCCTGACTTCCGGCAACAGAAGATTAAATTCACTGTTGGAGGACTTTCTGAATCTTTCATTTACTTTTTTTTCCTCGACTTCTTACCTTTTTCCTGACACTTTTCTCATTGACAAGTAAACATGCTTAATTCCCTTCCGTCTTGAGGAATCTGTCTCCCACCCCATTTCTCTTCTCTTACCTTCTCAGTAAAGCCTATTGAAGAACTTTTCCTCAGTCACTAACTCAAGTTCCTCATCTTTCATTTAACCTGAATGAACTCCAAGCTCACTCTGTTTATATAGCACCTCTGTAAGTCTAACAGCAGTCTTACTACAGAGCTCCTTTCGCTAAGTCTTGTGAGCACTTTTTAGTTCTCATGTAACTTACACTCTTAGCACTAAACACTATTCAACACTTCCTCCTCCAAGACACTCTTTTCTTTTTAACTTGTGTAGAGCACCGTGGTTAAGAGAATAGGCTTCTAAGTTACTCCATTTGAATTCAGGCTTTCACTTAAGATAACCTTGGGCAAATTAATTAACCTTTTTGCATTTCATTGTCCTTACCTGTTAAATGGAGAAAATAGTACCTATCCAACTCTTAGGGTTATCAGGAAAGATTTAATGAGGTAATGCATATAAGGAGCCCTCTTGACATATAACATGTACTCAATGAATGTTTTACATGATAATAATATTATTCTACTGTATCTCATTACAGTGTGTGTGTATGCATGCATGCACACATTCACATATACATTTATTCTTCTCTGTCTCTTCTTAGCTTCCTTCTAAGGACAACATTTGTGCATCCTTTAAATGTCTGTATTCTCTAGGACTACTTTTTTACTCTCTTCTCTATACTCTCTCAGGGGTATCTCAGTTATCCAAATAGATTTAATTAGAATTTAATTGCCGATGACTCTCAGATCTATTCTTAGCTGACATCTTTTTTTCTGAACTTCAAACACATCTATTTGCATATTAAACATTTTCAATATATGAAAAAGAGGAACCTCCAAATCAACATGTGTAATACTGAACTCATCAATCTGTAGTCCCAAATATGGTTTACTTCTAGTTGGCTCCATCTTAGGAAACACAACCATCACTCAATATCCCAAGTTAAAAATTGAATAATCTTTCTTTTTTTACCATGTGCAATGCATCTGGCAGTCATGCTGACACCAGGTGCTGTTTTGATCATTAGAATGCTATATAAAAATTCTCTCAGGAAACTCAGTCCATTGAGAAGTGCAGACATATCATTTCAGTATAACTTGGTAAGTGCTAAACCTTGTCTACCATTTCCCCACTTTTTCCTCTTATTAAATAGAATATTCCTTTGTCCAGTTGCCCAGGCCAAAAACCCGAGTTGTCTTAAATTTAATTTCTTTATTTTCCTTACTCTTACATATAATTCATTAGAAAATCCTATCAGTCCTATCATCAAATCTCATGCAGAATCCATTCACTTTAATGCCATCCCACTGTCATTATTTCCATCCAGTGGCTGTCACCTAAGACATGTTTTTGCCCCCATTCAGAGAACATTTAACAAAATCTGGAAACATTGTTTGGTTGTCACAGGTGGAGAGGGTGTTATTGGCAAGTAATGCCCTTTAATGAAGGCCAGGGTTGCTACTAAACATCCTGCAATGGACAGTATAACCTCCCACAGCAAAGAATTACCTGGCTCAATATGTCAATAGTGTTTATGTTAGAAAAGCTATTCTAATACAAGTTAGGGTTATTTCTTATTTTCACAAGTATGACTGCCTCTTAATCAGTTTCCTACATCCATTCTTTCTGTGTCACACACATTGGTACTCATCAACCCATCCACCACAGAGCACACAGAATGATCCTACATACACGTGACACATTATATCCTGCTTACATTATCAGTGTTTTCCATTTACAACCACAAAGATCCTAGGACCATGTTTTGAACACCACAGCTGAAATTCTCAATAGTTTCTGAATGGATAAGCAATGTGATTAACTGGCTACCTTGATGCTTTATTGTTCTTTGTTTTCCTGTTTTGTACATGCTTGGTAAAACAGAACTAACCAATGAATCTGCAAGATTCACATATAATTAATGTTCAATCTATTAATTGAATAATTTTCTTAATAGCTTAATCACCAGATGGCAGAAATAAGATATTACCTCTTTTTCCCCTGCCCACCAAGCAAGTACTCTGTCACAAGGACTGAAATACTGGGGGAAAGAGCAGAGACGATAAAATATTGAATAGTGCTGAGTTATTTTATGTTATCTCAAAGCATTGACTCACTTTCTTTGCGTGTGTGTGTGTGTGTGTGTGTGTACCCTAACCTGATAATATGTCTCCTTATCTGACCTCGTCCTTGTAGACTTTACTGGGATGATCCTAAATAAGTATAATATAGAATATATATATATATATATATATATATATATATATATATATATATATATATATATATAGTACTAGGTCCATATATATATATAACACATAATATAAAAGTTTCAGTAAGCTGTCTTCTTAAAAAATATGTTTTGTCATCTTTATTACATTTTGAATATACCCCATCTTTTCTTGGGAATATATCTTGGGTCCATATACATGGACCTGATATATATATATATATATATATATATACACACACATACATACATACACACACACACACATATATATACATGCACATATATACATATATATATACATATACATATATATTATATATAATATATGGACCTGGTACATTAAGCCAAGAGTAATCTTTGTGCCATAATATTAAGCCAAGGAAAACACACACACACACACACACACACACACACACACACACACAGATAGATAGACAGATAGATATATATAGATATTCTTAGCGCTGGAATACCATCCTGGATTTCTTCCTAAAAACTGGAAGGCTGTAATATAATACACACACACACACACACACACACACACACATTTTTTAAAAAGAAATCCAGGGTGGTATTTTTTGAGCATATTTCTGCCTTCTTCTATTCCTCCTTCTTTTGTTTGCTTGGAAAGTTTATCTGTACAGAAACTGTGTAGAAAGAGACTATTATGAAATACTACATTGCACCTGATTAAGGTGAAGTTGGGAAGAGTTATTGAATGTTTACTCATTGGCAGGCCAGGTTTTCTCCACTCACATAGCTGCTTCTCTACACTCAATCTTGAACTAAGGGTACAGAGAAGTTGCCCGAATGATTCCACACTCTTCATCATATTCTTCCAATTCTATAAAGGTACACACCTAATATGCTGGAGCATCTTGTACCTGAGTGGCCTTTCCTTCTGCCTGTAGAATGGGTTTCAAACAATCCTAAATGCGAAATCTATATTAGTATATTCCTCTCCTGATATTTACTCTGCTCTTTGTCTCACATCTGGAGTATTCCTTATATAAAACACCTTTTCACTTTAAAAGATAAAACAATGCTTTAAAAGGAAACATAGACAATTAAGTTCCGATTTTTTTTTTTTTTGGCTGTATTCCTCTGGACATATCCTTTTCCTTTAATGAATAAAAATCAGAAGCTCATAGCTTAAATGAAATGGCTGAAAGTGGATGGTGAAACATATTGCTTATAAAATTTCTTTTTGCCCTTGAATTAAGAAAACAGACATTGAGAAACGAGGAAGTTATGGTACTTAATTTTATAGGTGGTCCTCTTCTAGAAATTGCATTTTCCCATTTCCAGAAAACGATAGGGTATATTCAAAATTGTAATAAAGATGACAAAATATTTTTAACCAGATGGCTTACTGAACCATGGTTTCTAGTTACATCTTTTATAATTACTGGACATATTTATTAATCTACTAATTTATAAAAAATTAAAAATTGTATCATAAAACTACTATCTTGTTTAGATGCCAACGCTAGTAGTGTGCTATTTTAAAAATAGGATACTTATGTTTTAATTTGGAAATCTATCAAAATATAATCAATCACTCACAGTCTCATTTTGAAATTGCTTTTTTTTGAGACGGAGTCTTGCTCTGTCACCCAGATTGAAGTGAAGCGGCCTGATCATAGCTCACAGCAGCCTTGAACTCCTGGTCTTGAGTGATCCTCCCTTCTTAGCCTCCCTAGCACCTGGACTACAGGTTCAAGTCAACATGCCCAATTAATAATTTTAATTTTGTGTAGACATAGGCTTGCTATGTTGCCCAAGCTGGTCTCTAACTCCTGGCCTCAAGCAATCCTCTCATCTCAGCCTTCCAAAGTGCTGGCATTACAGGTATGAGCACCACATCCAACTTGCAGTTGCTTTTAAATAACAAAATTTACTGTTTAATGTTATCAACTTCTTTTAAAATGTATTCCCTTACGTTGATAGACATGCAACTATGCAAGTGCAAAATGTCTAAGCAAAGTTAACCATTCTGTTAGTAAAAAAAAAAAATACAAATAGTGATCATTTCTAAATGCTTTAGAATTCTTTTTTAAAAATTAGTATAAACATCTTATCAGCATGTAATGTGATTTTTATTCCATTGTAATTTTTCTATATTGCTCGGAGACCTGATTCTGTCAACTACAATTCAAGAACTGGAGCAAGAAATACAAAAGGGGGAAAGAGAAATTGATATTTCATTGGTGGAAGTCCATCTGATATGACAGTAATCTTGAATGAGAGAAAGAAGAAAGATGGTATGCTGAATGAATACTGCTAGTAACGTCACATATTTCTTGTGTATGAAGTTCTATTTATTTATGCCAAACATAGTGTATTGCCTAATCTAAAGAAAATGGCTTCTTATTTTCCATATGAGTAGACTAGCTGAGTAATATTTCACACTTTCATGATTTGTGATTTTGTTCTTGATTTAATTAGACAAAATTAAATATTTTACTTTCCCTCCCTCCTTTCACACTTATGTCTTACTTTCTCTGTATTTTTATTCCTGTTATTTTTTGCATCTCATCTCTATCTCCTTTTTGTCTTCCTATCTCTCTGTCTCACACTCTCTCTTCCCCAGTATAACTATATCCCCCAGACAGAGAGATCAAGAGATTCATAGGTAGACACAAAGATACATAGAGGTTAATAAAGATAGATAGACAGATATAATTACATATAATTTCACACTATACACGCATACATTTTTACTTACACATATTTGTACATATGTTGTGAATAGTTAGATAAGATATATAGAGAAAACTTTAATACATTTCAAATATATGAGCTATTTTTTCCTTCAGTAAATTTTAAGTGTCTTATTGTCTGTGACTATATCTCAGGTTAAAAATAAAAATAAAAAAGACAAAACCTTTTATATCACCTGGTGCAGACACAAGCGTTAATAGAGTGTTTCATATTAAAAAATCTTTAGTCAATTAAACTAAATCTTTTTTTATTTATCTCTTTGAGTGTTTTAGTATCTTTCATGGAACACTAATGTCTGTTTCCCACCATGTGAACTCTCCTGTGGGGTTTCTCCACTAAATCTAATGGCGATTTTTTTCCCTTTGTATTTTTTAAATTTAAATTTAATTTTTTTTGAGAGAGAGATGGGGTTTTACTAGGTCGCTCAGGCTGGTCTGGAACTCCTGGACTCAAGGGAACCTCCCACCTCAGCCTCCAGAGTAACTGAGATTACAGGCACCAGCCACCATGCCCAGCTTTCCTTTGCATTTTTAAAATTCTGAGTTGTATTTCAGTGGGAGTTGTTTTCGATTGGAATATTTCCTGCCCTAGCCAGGGAGGCAACTGTATGAGACAGTTCCATATTTGCTTCTCTGGGCCTGAACAGATTTCACTTATTATGGACTGGTTTTAACCTTATAGTCTTTGAGTTCTCACACTTCGTGGGTAGTGAGTATTTGGACCTCATTGCCTGTGTATGGGAGAGGTTTGTGATTTTGACTACTAATAAATTACCCTTTCCACATAAGTGACTAAGGGCAATCAGTCGCTTTCCTGTATCCAAAGGCCATCTGGTTAAGGTTTTGTTTTACATTTCACAGGGCAGCCCTGCCTAGCTCAAGGTTTTATGCAAAGAGCACAATTCCGGATCTCCGCAACCTGGACCTACAGCCTCCACAGCATTCCCTACCTTGGTCATGACAGGGGAGTCACAACCTCAAACCTGTACTGAAAAACATCATTCTAATCTGATGCAGACTTTCCATTCTTAGCTACGGTTCACCACTTTGGAATCAACACTTTGGCTTTAATTTTTTTTTTCCTTTCTCCTGGCACACAGATATGTCCTTTGCTTTCAGGATCTGCTGATTACTATTTAATATAATAATTTATTCTGCATTTTTCTGTCCTTTCAGTAGCAGGGTGAGGATCATTTTCCGCATCAGCTCAGTCGGCTATATTAATTGGAAATTAAGTTTATTAATAGAGATGCTTACTTTAGCAGAGATTCCAGAGCACACACGAGTAGGTAGGAAGGTCAACCTACAAAATAAAAAGCGTCTAGCCCTTGGGAATTCTTTCTGATATTGTCTTTGGAAATCAAGCTCAGGATGAGCCATTCTCATAAAGAAGATTATTATATTTGCCTTATCAGAGAAAGGCATTTATGTAATAGGCTTTCTAATTTGCTTGCTAAATCCCAGAAATAATGCTTTCATGATTTAATGCAAAAAGTTTCAGAGGATTTTTTTCATGCAAATAATAATCTATCCTCTCTTTCCTTAGGGAGAAAAAAAAATCTCATTTTCACTCCTTACTAAGGTTCATAAGTATAATCATTATCCACAAACTGAATCCATAGCTACTTAATATCCAGTTGAACTTTTATAATTTTTGTCACTTCCGTAACTAGGTGAGCTCAGTTTCTTATTTGCCATTGCTATCTGAATGTTTAGTTAGTATAAGCAAAATATCCATATCAGTAAATTGATAAATTTTAAAAAGTTATTCTGATTTATAAAACGAATATGCATTCACTGGAGAGAATGTGAAATAATCATGATGGTGTAAGGAAATATCAACACATTCTACTTCAGAAAATTTCTTATATCAGATTTAACCAATATCTCTGTGTGTGTGTGTGTACAGTATTTTTATATAGTACTACAGTTGAACATATGTGTGTACGCACATGCGCACATATACAGATGCGGAAAAGCATGCAGAAGTACCTGTATGTGTTCAAGCATATCAACACAAATATCTATACCTGTGCCATGCATATATATATAGTGGCCATACAGTCTGCTTTAGTTGGCTCAGGCTGCCATAACAAAGTATCACATACCAGATGTTTTAAGCAACAAAAATTGATTCCTCACAGTTCTGGAGCAGTTCTGGAGGCTGGAAGTCCCAAACCAGGGTATTAGCAATGTTGGGTTTGGGTGAGGATCCTCTTCCTGACTTACTACCTTCTTGCTGTGTCTTCATATAATGGAGAGAGATCTCTGGTGTGTCTTCCTCTTTTCATAAGGGCACCGGTTCCACTGGATTTGTGCTCTACCCTTAAAACTTCCTTTAACATCCTTAAAGGCCCTACCTCCAATATAGTTTCATGGGTGGAATGGAGGGGGAGGCTAAAGCCTCAACATGTGAATTTGAGCAGGGAGACACAATTCAGTCCATAGCACAGTCAATAATGTTTAATTTTTAAAATTAAAATGATAATGTAGATTTTTTATATTAAAAAAATTAGTTTCCATAGTAATAAACGATTTGAGACTTACAGGGGACAGAGATAATATTTTAATGAACATTCATACTCCTCCCACACTTTTGATATATATTGTCATTTAGCCATAATTGACTAAAATTTTTATTTGATCTTGTTTTACTATTTAGAAATAAAATGTTACTGATTCAGTGGAGACCCTTGTGTAATTTTCTCTGGCCCATTAACTCCTCTTCTCCAGGCATAACAGCAGTCTTTAGCTAGGTGATCATGAGTCTCTGCATTTTTTGATAAACTTTTTCTAAATCAAGTCTAAACTTGAGTGTCTGCAAACCTTGACACTGAGGGCTACATCAACATGTGTCTTCAATTAAACTTGAAAGGCAGTCTAGCCCATAAGGACTGCAATTCTTAGGCTATTCCTAGTGCTAAACTAGGCCTAGAGACAGTGGACTGAGTGGGCATAGGACATGCTGAGACACTAGCCAGCTGGGGCAGCCAAGGGAGTACTGGCATCACGACTCTCAGGATGCACAGTCTGCGAATCCAAAAGAGACCCCTTTCTTTTACCTTGAGGGAAGGAGACGAAAGAGTGGGGAGGACTTTGTCTTGCAAATAAGTTACCAGCTCAGTCACAGCAGGATAGGGCACTTATGAGAGTCACGAGGCCTCCATGGGGGCCCTAGCTCTCAGACAATAATTTGCAGGCCCTACCTCCCGGACAATGTTTCCGGACACACCCTGGGCCAGAAGAAAACGCACTGCCTTGAAGGAGAAGACCAAGTCCTGGCAGCATTCATCATCTGCTAACTGAAGAGCTCTTGGGCCCTGAATAACCAGCAGCGATACCCAGGTCCTACACTGAAAGAGTTTGGTGAGCCTCTGAGAATTGCTGGCTTCAGGTGAAACTCAACTTATTACCAGCTGTGGTAGCTATGGGGCAAAACTCCTCCTGCTTCAGAAAAGCAAAAGGAAAAGTAAATGGGACTTTGTCTTGCACCTTAGGTACCAGCATGGCCACGGTGTGTGTGTGTGTGTGTGTGTGTGTGTGTGTGTGGTGGTGGTGATGGGCGGGGTAGGGGCGGTTAGAGCAAAAAGCAGGCCCTTGGGGTCCCTGATTCTAGAACTTAAATCTTAGATGGCACTTCTGGGCATTCCCTGGGCCAGAAGGGAGACTACTACCCTGAAGGGTGAGTCCCAGGCCAGGCAGCATTCACCACAAGCTGACATAAGAGACCTCGGGCCTTATAGGAACATCAGTGGTAATCTGGCAGTACTCCTTGTGGCTGGGGTTGGCAGTGACTATGGGGTGAGGCTCCTCTGCGTTTGGAAAGGAGATGGAAGAGTGGGAAGGACTGCATCCTGTGGTTTGGGTGCCGCTTCTAAAGTTTTTGACTCTAGGTCCTGACTCCCAGACTGCACTTCTGGATCCACCCAGGGCTGGGGGGATCTTGTCACCCTGAAGGGAAGGACACAGGCCTGGCTGGCTTTGCCACCTGTTGATTGTGTAAGGCCAGGGCCTGGAGAAAACATAGGCAGTAGCCAGGGAGTGGTTACAGCAGTACTTGGGCAAAATCAAGCACTGTGCTGGCTTCAGGTCTGATGCAGCATGGTCATAGTGGTGATGGCAACAGAGGTGCTTGTATCGCTCCACCCTCTGCTTTAGGTGGTTCAGAATAGAAAGAGAGACTTTGTATGATTGGGAGAATGTGAGAGAAGAGAACAAGAGTCTCTTCCTGGTAATCCAAAGAATTTTCCTGGATCTTGACCAAGACCATCAAGGTGGTACCTCTTACCAGTGTGCAAGAACCACATTATTGCTGGGCTTGAGGTGCCCCCTAAAGCAGATACAGCATATATCACAACACCCAAGTCCTTTCAAATATATTAAAATTGTTCCCAAAAAGGGCAGCTACAAATAAGCCCAGATGTTGAAGACCACAATAAATACCTAACTATTCAATGCCCAGACACCAAATAACATCTAATAACATCTACTAAGATCAAAGCCATCCAGGAAAACACGACCTCACAGAATGAAGTAAATAAGCCCCCAGAAACCAACCCTGGAGAAACAGATATGTGACTTTTCAGATAGAGAATTCAAAATAGCTGTGTTGAGAAAATTGAAAGAAACTGAAGATAACACAGAGAAAGAATTCCACATTCTACAGATAAATTTAACAAAGAGATCAAAATATTTTTAAAAAGAATCAAGCAGAAATTCTAGAACTGAAAAATGGAATAGTCATACTGAAGAATGCATCACAGCCCTTTAATAGTAGAATTGATCAAGTGGAAGAAAGAATTAGTGAGCTTGAGGACAGGCTATATGAAAACACACAGTCAGAGAAAAGAAAAGAAAAAAAAGAAAGCATACCTAAAGACTCTAGAAAAATAGCCTCAAACAAGTAAATGGGCGAGTTATTGGCCTTAAAGAGGAAGCAGAGAAAAAGATAGGGTAGAAAGTTTATTCAATGGGATAATAACAGAGAAATTCCCAAACCTAAAGAAAGATGTCAATATCCAAGTACAAGAAAGTTATAGAACACCAAGCAGATTTAACAGAAAGAAGACTACCTCAGGGCATTTAATAATAAAGCTCCCCAAGGTCAGTGATAAAGAAAATATTCTAAAAGCAGCAAGAGAAAATAAACAAATAACATAAAATAGAGCTCCAATATGTCTGGCAGCAGACTTTCAGTGGAAACTTTACGGGCCAGGAGAGAGTGGCATGACATGCTTAAAATACGGAAGAATAAAAAGCTTTTACCCTAGAATACTGTATCTGGTGAAAATATCCTTAAAGTATGAAGGAAAAATAAAAACTTTCCCAGACAAACAAAACCGAAGGAATTTCATCAACACCAAACCTGTCCTATAAGAAATGCTATAGAGAGTACTTCGACCACAAAGAAAAGGACATTAATGAACAATAAATAATCACTTGAAAGTACAAAACTCACTGGTAATAATAAATACACCAAAAAACACAATATAGTAACTGTAACAGTGGTTTGTAAACTGCCGATATCCAAATTAGAAAGACTAAAAGATGAACCAATCAAAAATAATAGCTACAACTTTCCAAGACACAGTCAGTGCAATAAGATATAATTAAAAACAACAAGATTTAAAAAGTGAGGTCATGGAGTTAAGGTTTAGCAGTGTTTTATAGTTCTCCTTGTGGAGATCTTTTATCTTTTTGATCAGCTATATTCCTAGATATTTTATTTTCTTTGTGTCTAGTGCAAATGAAATTGTGTTCTTAACTTGACTCTCAGCCTGGATGTTATTAGTGCATAGAAATGGTATTGGGGGGCTTATGCAGGAGGTGGGGATAGTTAACAGGTACAAAAAATAGAAAAAATAAATGAGGTCTACTATTTTATAGCACAATATGGTGACTATATACAATAATTACTTAATTGTACATTTTAAAATAACTTAAAATGTGTAATTAAGTTGTTTGCAACTCAACGGATAAATGGTTGATGAATGGATAGCCCATTCTTCACAATGCACTTATTTCACATTGCATGCCTGTATAAAAACATCCCATGTACCCTATAAATGTGTGCATGTACTACGTACCCACAAAAATTAAAAGTAAAAATCAATTTTAAATAAGAAATTATACTGATTTTTGTACACTGATTTTGTATCCTGAAACCTTGTGAAAATCATGTATCAGTTCTAGTAGACTTCTGGCAGAGTCTTTAGAGTTTTCTAAGTAAAGAATTACATCATCAGTGAAGAAAGATGGTTTCACTTCTTATTTTCCTATCTGGATGCCTTTTATTTCTTTCTCTTGCTCTGGTTTCTAATAGAGTTCATATTCACTAATTTTTTCATTACTCCTCAAAGTGGACGTTTATGTTTGAGTAGTCTTACTTCATTTTTTCTTTTGCTTACTTGTTCATCAATTCATTTTTAAAAAGCTACTAAGTGCCTGTTACATGCTAGCCACAAAATCCTAGACACTTATTTCCTAGTCTCAATACTAACTGTGCTAGTGTAATTGATTCCTTGCACATCACTCATACCAGGAAAACTTACAATGCCAAATGGTTCTAACATTGCTTTCTGTTTTGTTTTAAATGGACCATTAACAATTCACTTGGTACTTTAAATTTAGCTTCCCTATAACTACACATATTCTTAACTCCCAGTTTAGCTAACATTTTATTTCTTCTTTGCATCAGCCTTCCCTAATAGTAATTATAATTACAAGAAAAGCAATAACAACAACAACACTGGTAGTAGCAGCATTCTTACTAAGTGCTAGATATTGATTACTCTTCATGTTATCTTATTTAATCCTCACAACTTTGAGGGTCTGGTATCAACATCCACATTTTTTCAGATTTAAAAAATCTGAGATGAAGAGGTGTTAAATAACTTGCCCACAGTGACACAGGCAGTCATTTAAAACACTAGGATTTGAACACAGACACTCTGCCTTCATCAACCCTCTCCTAACTACCATACTCTGTTACCTTCACTATGAATTGTAATATCTCTAGTGATAGCAGTGATTATTAAAGAAATTATTAGCATTATAATTCCTAATTTTAGCATTCCAGCTGTTTTCATTGGTTTGAGAACTTTTGGAAACATTGTAGGCACAGTTTACCCTGACCTCTATTTCTGTTACCTGCTTCTGATGTCTTATTGTCCTGAAATACGTTCTAAGTTCAACACAAATTGAAGTGTTATTTCTAAAGTATGGAACAAAGATTATCAAAGATACGGTGTGTCATTCTTCATATTGTTAAAGATATAAACTAAGAGCTTCATATGTATGCTTTTTCCATCAGCCAGAATACCTAACATTTCAGCTCTACCACCATTTCCTACGCTTATGGTAATTTCATTAGTCCAGTCTCACACTTGAGACTGGGTATTTTATAAAGAAAGAAGGTTTAATTGGTTCATGGTTCCACAGTCTGTACAGGAAGCATGGCTGGGGAGGCCTCGGGAAACTTACAGCAGAAGGCAAAAAGGAAGGAGGCACATCTTACATGGCCAGATAAGGAGGAAGAGAGAGTGAAGAAGGAGGTATACTTTTAAATAAACAGATCTCATGAGAAATCACTCACTGTCATAAGAAAAGCAAGAGGAAAATCCACCCCCATGATCCAATCACCTCCCACCAGGCCCCTCCTCCAACACTAGGGATGACAATTCAACATGAGATTCAGGTGGGGAAACAAATTCAAATCATATTATTCCACCCCTGGCCCCTGCCAAACTTCATGTTCTTCTCATATTGCAAAATACAATTCTTCCTTCTCAACAGTCCTCCAAGTCTTAATTTATCTCAGTATTAATTCAAAAGTTAATGTCCAAAGTCTCATCTGAGAAAAGACTAGTCCCTTATGCCTATAAGCCTGTAAAATAAAAAACAAGTTAGTTATTTGCAGGATACAATAAGGATATGGGCGTTGGATAAATAGTCCCTTTCTAAAAGGGAGAAATTGGCCAAAACAAAGGGACTACAGACCCCATGCAAGTCTGAAACTCAGCAGGGCAGTCATTGTATCTTAAGGCTCCCAAATAACCTTCTTTGACACTAGGACTCATATCCAGGGCACACTGATACGAAGAAGGAAGGGCTCCCCACGGCCTTGGGCAGCTCAGCCCCTGTGGCTCTGCAAGGTACAAACCCTGTAGCTGCTTTCACAGGCTGGTGTTGAGTGTCTGCAGCCCTTCCAGGTGCATGGTGCAAGCTGTCTGTGGTTCTACCATTCTAGGTTCTGAGGACAGTGGTCTTTTTCTCACAACTCCACTAGGCAGTGTCTCAGTGGAAACTGTGTGGGGGATCCAACCTCTCACATTTCCCCTATGCACTGCCCAAGTAGAGGTTCTCCATGAGGGCTCTACCTCTGAAGCAGACTTCGGTCTGGACATCCAGGCATTTCCACACATCCTCTGAAATCTATGGGGAGGCTCCCAAGTCTCAACTCTTGTCCACTGCACACCCGCAGGCTTAATCTACATGGAAGCAGCCAAGGCCTGGGGCTTGCAGCCTCTGAAGCCAGGGACCAAACTGTAGCTTGGTCCTTTTTAGCCACAGCTAAAGCTAAAGCAGCTGGGATGCAAAGCGCCATGTCCTGAGGCTGTACGGAGCAGCAGGGCCCTGGGTCTGGCCCAGAAAATCATTTTTTTCCCTCCTAGGCTTCCAGTCCTGTGATGGGAGGGGTTGCTACAAAGGTCACTGAAATGCCCTGGAGGCATTTTCTCCATTGTCTTAACTATTAACCTTCGGCTTCTCTTTACTTACGCAAATTTCTGCAGCCTTGAATTCTTTCCCAGAAAATTGGGTTTTCTTTTCTACCACGTGGTTAAGCTTGATATTTCCCAAATTTTTATGCTCTGCTTCATTTTTAAATGTTAGTTCCAGGTTCAGAAAATCTCTTTGCTCACGAATAGGAGCTGATGCTGTAAGGAGCAGCCAGGCCATGTCTTGAATGCTTTGCTGCTTAGAAATTTCTTCCACCACATATCCTCAATTATCTCTCTCAAGTTCAAAGATCCCAAAGAGCAGGGGAGCAATGTTGTCAGTCTGGATACTAAAGCACAGCAAGAGTGACATTTACTCCAGTTCCCAATAAGTTTCCCATCTCCACCTGAGACTACCTCAGCCTGGACTTCACTGTCCACATAACTATCAGCACTTTGGTCACAACCATTCAACGAGTCTCTAGGAAGTTTCAAACTTTCCCTCATCTTCCTACCTTACGAGACCTTCAAACTTTCCAACCTCTGCCCATTGCCCAGTTGCAAAGTTGCTTCCACATTTTTAGTTATCTTTATAGCAATGCCCCACTTCTCTGCTCCCAAATGTATTAGTCTGTTTTCACAATGCTATAAATAACTCGCTGAGACTTAGTAATTCATAAAGAAAAGAGGTTTAATTGACTCATGATTCCACAGGCTATAAAGGAAGCACGCTGGAGAGGCCTCAGGAAACACACAATCATGGCAAAAGGTAAAGAGGAAGAAGGCACGTCTTACATGGCTGGAGAAAGAGAAAGAGAGAGAGAAGTGGGAGGTGATACACTTTTAAACAACCAGATCTAGTGAGAAATCATTCACTATCACAAGAACAGCAAAGGAGAAATTTGCCTCCATGATTCAAACACCTCCCACCAGTCTCCTCCTCCAACACTAGGGATTACAATTCAACATGAGATTTGGAAAGGGACACATATCCAAACAATATCAGTAATCATTGCTACATAACCATCACTCTCTTTCCTTGTGTGAACTGCAAGGTCTTAGGATTCTTATCATGAATGTAAAGAACCCAAAAAAGCAATTACAGATCTCTTATCAGAAGAAATGAAAGCTTTTGCCATTTATTATCAAACATGTTTCACAGAATTCTATTGAACATATCTGCAGAACTTCCCATATGAACTATTCATTTGGGATTTTAGCCCAATTTTCTGAATAACTTTCCTTCATGAGTTTAGATTCAGACTCATCTCACTTATCATTATTAATCTGCTTTGAGAATGCAAAATCTTATTAAAAATCTTGTTATAAATTAACTTTTATCTTGCTCTCCTTTTCTAAATCTTTTTCTGACTATATCCATCTATATTTTGGGAAATATCCAAAAACAAAAAATAAGTCATTATTATTGTTATAGTATGATTATAGGATGAAATGATCTATGCAAAACCTTTTTTGTGTGTGAGGCTGTACACCAATATTAGTTTGAAGGTCTTGTTTTTTCAGACCTGAAGAGTACCAAGATGCTTAAGGTATGTGGTGGGATGGGGTATTAATATTTGGCTTGTCATGTCAGTGGGGGGAAAATGGATTGTTCAACAAACTGAACTGGACAAAATAATTTTCCATAGGGAGACCCCCCTTAAATTGGATTATTTGCTCACACTATATAAAAAAAATTCCAGATGGATTATGGACGTAATTATCAAAAAACTTCTAACTCTTAGTAAAAAAATATAGTAAAGATATATTAGACCCTGAGGTAGCAAAAGCTTCTTAAAACAAGATACAAAATACACCGACTTAAAATAACCTATTATTGATTAGAATCTAAGTTGTTCATTTGCAACTCTCTGGAGATAAAATCTAGTGTTTCATCCCCACGGCTCATGCCCTTTCAACTAGGTAACAGTGCTGCCTTAAAACAGTGCTACCTCAGTGTGATTTACTTTAAGACATCGTTAGACATATTTTATATTATTAGCATTCATACATATGCTTGTCCGCCCCCACAACCAAGATGATAAGATTGTTTGGGCAAGCTCTGTAACCCCAGCACCTATCATATTGTTTGTATATACTAAGTGATGTATTAAAATTGTGCATAGTGAATACTTTAAGGGTGATCTGTTTCTCCTCTTCTATGTATACACTATATTAGTTTTCATTATCTTTGTATATTTTATATGTCCCCAAATGCACTGTATTATTCCTTTGGTTAGAAGACCACAATTATAAGTATTTTTTAGTTTGCAAAACTTTTCAAATAATAGAACAATAAGATTTGTACAATGCGACCTACTTAAATAAAAAATAATGTATAAATAACATGATCTGGTTGTGAAAATAGTTCTAGAAGTGAAAAATCATAATCTATATCCTCCAAGAAGAGTCTGAGGGCTGTTAAAAATAAATTAGGTTTATAAAATTATTTACAAATTAATTATCTTTCAACACTTGTCCTGTACAAGTAGTTCTGTAAAATTTCAGCAGTTTAGAAAATCAATATTAATGTCACGCTTACATATGCATTGTAAAGGAAGCAGAGCTCTCATTGCTAAAATAGGAATATATCAGAGTAGAGAAACTGCAGGAGATAGGTCCAGAGACAAGAGAGCTAAATTTTAGTTCATCTCTGTCATTAACTCACTGTATAACATTAGACCAGGGAATTAATTGCTCTGAGCCTCAGTCTCTTCACCTATGTTATAAAAGGATTTGTCTAGATCAGAGGTTCTTTACCAAGGAGACTGGGAGAATCATCTGGAGAACTGAATTTTAAATGCAGATTCCCAAGCCTTGTCTCCTCAGAGATCCTAATTTAGTAGGTTTGGGGAGGTTTGAAACTAGGATCTGCATAGTTTTAACGAGTCCTACAGGTGATTTTAATGAGCAGCCACATTAATAATTATTGTATCTGAAATCCAAACTTCCTTCTTGTTCTCTGATTCCAGACATTAATATGCTTTAGATGCTATAATTAATAACAGATATAAAGACCTTAAAATAATGCTTACTCATCTTTTTGTTTTGAAATTTTTATTTCATACTGGAGAGACTAAATATCAACCATTTAGAACAATGACAATAAAACCAAATGAACGACTGAAGCATTGGTCATGTATTTATAACAAAGTGGAATTTGTAAGAGATTGGTTCTGCAGGTAACTGAGGTTCTTATATTCTAACCCTAAAGAAACCTAGAGTGATTTTCTTTGACAATAACAATGGTCTTAAAATTAAAAGGTATATTTACTCAGCAATCTGCCCATGGTCCTTGTTCTATTTAGTCTAACCATATTTTGGACAAACAAAAACAAAAACAAGCACAACACAGCAACAACAAAAAACAGTAGTTGACACAGAAATAATGTATGCCCTTTCAGGATCCTAGTTTATTTGCAAATGGCAGCAATTGAAAACAGATTAGCTAACAAATACCCTGTTGCATGCCACCTCTCTCCTTAAAACACACACACATGCGTGCATGCACACACATGCACACACACTGACACGCACACACGCACACACACACGGACATGCTTACATGAATGTGTGCACCATACATATTGAGAGTTAAAACTGAGTTAAGGATGGAGAATGTGCACTGTAATACACATCTGTGCGTACACACACACACGCACACACACACTAAAATGTATATCCCACGTAGCTCAGCGAAAGAGATACAATAAACAAGATTATTACTTTGAAATATTTTCAACTCCTTACTAGGAACGATTAAAGCATAAAGTGATGTTGAACGGAAAAAGAAGTGATCATGGATAATTACTTTAGCTGCCCGTGTTATTGTACAAAATAATGCTCTGAGAAGATATGTGGCAATCAAAATGAGCGAGTGAGCAATCAAAGCCGAAGTTGTTTCCTATGGTGAGAAATTATAATTCTCTCTCTTTCAAGTTATCTCCAAACATCATACATAGTTTGATAATTATAGCATATATTTCAACTAACTCCATGGCTGCAAATTTGAGAAAAATTCATTTCTACGGTAATGCAATTTACTACTTCCAGGTACACTTAAATTGCCTAACTCCAAGATTACTCTTTGGTAGTAAATATGTAAGATAACTGCTAAAACTGTGCAGAGTGCACTTTGAAGAATGTTCCATGAACATGCTTATGAGAATATTCAATAAATCAATGTCCTGTTATCATATTTTGATCCAAACTACTGAAAAGGAGCACTCTACGCTTAAAGCGGAAAACGAATGTATTGCTCCTTGTACTTTCAACTGATTCCCCAAACTCATTATATTCTTGAGTTAGTGTACTTGCTTCTGGTCAGCACAAATAATAGTAACAATAGAAACAGTAATAAAGCTGGACGCGATGGCTCAAGCCCGTAATCCCAGCACTTTGTGGGGCCAAGGCAGGCGGTTCTCAAGTTCAGGAGTTTTAGACCAGCCTGGCCAACATAGTGAAACCCTGTCTCTACTAAAAATACAAAAATTAGCCAGACATGGTGGCACACGCCTGTGGTCCCAGCTACTTGGGAGGCTGAGGTAGGAGAATCACTTGAACATGGGAGACAGAGGTTGCAGTGAGCCGAGATCGCACCACTGCACTCCAGCCTGGGCAACAGAGTGAAACTCTGTCTCAAGAAAAAAAAACAAAAAACAAACAAACAAACAGTAATAATGACAAATAGCGAAATTTATTTAGTGAGTGTTATGTGCCAACATTTCTAAGTGCTTTAATGAGTATTATCTCATTTAGTAAATTTAAGGAATCTTTGATTCGGGTTCTTTTAAAAAATGGCAAATAATAATTGCATACTTTATGGAGTATTATGTGAATTAGGTATTTGTTTTTTTTTTATTAGAGATGTAGCATAGTGTATGGTGCTTAAGAGCATAGACTCTGGAGCCAGACTGGGTTAAGTCTTTTCTGGGTTACTTCCTTGATGTGTGACTGAACTCCTTTAACTTCAATGTCCTTGTCTTTAAACAATGGACTATGCTTGTAATTGTACCTACCTGGTAGAATTATGAGGATTGAATTAGTTACAACATATATAAAAGTCTTAAACAGGGTCTGGCACATAATAAATGCTATGTGAGTATTATCTACTATACTCTCAATTTTTATATGTGACAGAGTCAGAGAGTTTAATTTAATTATGAGTTTACATAGTTGATAAACAGCAGAACTAACTTAAACCAAGGCAACCTGACTCCAGAACCTCTACTATTAGGTTCAGAGTTATACAGTATTAAGTTCATTTTTATTTTTTGTGAGATATGTGAAATATTTTAAACATACAAAATGGTAGAGATAACTGTATTACTCAGAGTTTCTTAAAATATGTTCCATAGGACATTGGTTTACTTCAATGATCCGTAAAATTATAAGAAAAGAAAATCCCACGGCAAAATATATTGGGAAATGCTGCACACTTACATTTCTTTCATGTATTTTCCACAATCGATAATTGTTACTCTAAGAGTACAGTATCTCCTAAGGCAAATAAACCTATTTATTTTTGCTTAGCTTGGCATTTTTAAACGTATTTGATCACTGAACACACTTTAGCAAATGCGGGATGAATACTAATACAAAGAGGTTAAGTGAGCATTTTTCTCACTAGACAAAATAAAATGATATACCTGTAACAAGGTTCTCTGGAGAAACAGAACCAACAGGAGATATCTGTCTCTCTGTCTGTCTATCTATCTATCTAGCATGTATCTATGTATCTAGATAAATTGATAGATATGGATATGATAACATTTATCATGGGAATTAGCTCATGTGATTATTGAAGCATAGAAGCTGCAAGATCTAATGGCAGTAAGTCAGAAAACTAGGAAAACCTGTGGTATAATTCAGTCAGAGTCCAGGCCTCAGAAACAGGGAGAGTGACGGTGTAAGTCCTTGACTAAGTACCATGGCCTGAGAACCTGGGAAGCTGATGGTGTAAGTCCTGGATGGAATCCAAAAGCCTGAAAAGCAGGAACAATGATGTCCAAGTGTAGGAGAACATGGATGTCTCAGTTCAAGCAGAGAGAAGGAATTCACCCTTCTTCCACTTTTATGCTCTGTTCTGATCCCAGTGGATTGGACGGCCACCTGTTTTGGTGAGGGTGATTTTCTTTACACAGTCTATTGATTCAATTGCTAATCTTCTTCCGAAAGAACCTCGAAGACATACCCAAGAATAATGTTTTACCAGCTATCTGGGAAGCTCTTAGGTTAGTCAAGTTGACACTTAAGATTAATCATCATAATACCTATCATTCAGATTCTAAAAATCATCTCCAATCTTTCCCTATCTTCTGTTTCAGATATTTCTAAGCTTAGGTCCCTCCTCCAACTCCCCATCCAAGAAAACATAAAACAGAGTATGACAGAAAAGCTTTGATATAGGTACTTTGTTTCAGGGAAGTACTATTAAGAGAGAAAAACAAAAACATAATTGTCAATGGCACGCCATTGAACATATAATAAATCACTATTTCTGTGCAGTTTAATTCCAAAAATTGTACAAATTAGACTCACAAAAATATGGTCTTGATCTCAAGTCCTCACATATATGTTAAGGCAGTTTGTAGGCTCTCAATTCTGTTCCATTTCCAGAGCTAAATCAGGTATTTTCTGCTTCTTAGCACAATGTTATAATCTACACATTTTTTTTTAGATGAGCTCCCAATGACCATCAGAAACTACAGTACCTTCAGCTATTATATGCAGAGGCTCAAAGGATAATGATTTATGATTGATTTCTGCTCACGAAATCTCTGTGTGTTAATATTCTTCCAGCATTTGCTAAAGTGTGTTAAGTGATCAACTGAATTTTTAAAACTGCCAAACTAAGCAAAAATAAATAGGCTTATTTGCCTCAGGGGTTCCTATACTCGTAAAGTATAGATATGTATTGTGACTGTCCATTAAAGAAATATAAATGTGCAGCATTTCCCAATGTATTTGGCCATGAGATCTTTTTATCTTACTATAATTTTGTAGAACATTGCAGGGAACTAATGTTATACAGAATAAACTTTGAGAAATGCTGACCAATTTTGTTATCATGATCAAATAAATAATACAAGGCAAATGCTGTTGAAAATATTGAATATGTTGCACAAAATTCAAGAAAGAAATAATGGCAGTGTTTATTTCAAAATTGAGTCATTTACCACCATTGAATTAGGTAGTTGATTAAAATTTATTTTTCTCTAACCCCCATCTGCAGGTGGGGCCTGGAAATCTGAATTTATATTCAGTGGCTACAGTGTTCAAATACATAAAGCTTTAGAAATATTGGATTATTTTATATGGAGTTCTATGAAGTTCAGTGATTTTAAAATTTTAAATGGATAGATGATAGATAAATTGATTCTTTTTATTACAGAGAACATTTGCTTAGAAACTTAAGTTGTAATTATTACAAACTTGCAATGAAGTAGCTTAAGAAAAAAAAAGAATAGCTTATAAAGGAAACCTGGGGCTCGTATCATAGAAACCAAGGACAATAATGCAATCATCCCCTGGCCACAGCTGTAACTCAGAGCATAAATGGTATCAGAACGTTCAGTCTTTTTTCCTGCTTAATTCTGACTGCTTCACTTTGTGAGGTGGATGACCACCCTTTGCTACTCAGGCTCCTCGTATTCCAGAGTCCCAGTGTCTAAAAAATAAAACTTGATTCCATCGACTTCAAATCAAAATTATCTGATAAAGACATTTGACTTGCACATTATAGGTGAAATGACTGCACCACTGAACAAATCTATTATTTTCAGTTGCATGAAGAACTAAGGAAAAAAGTGTTTGGCCAGGTATGGTTGGTACACACCTTTGGTACTATAAAGTGGCCACGGGTATACAGTCATGCACTGCATAACAAAGTTTGGTCAGCAATAGTCCAGACCACATATGCGATGGAGTTTGCAAAACCCTAGAAGGCTGTAGTTGAGAGAGCAAGCAACTTATACCTGGGTTTGAATGAAAATGACAATGAGAAGCCCCTAGAGATGGTTCCTAAGTAGTTGACTAATGATTTCTTGGAACAGGAATGCATAGCTGAAGAAGAGACAAGGGAAAAGAAAACTTCAAAGGAAGAAAAAGAAGAATCCCCAGGAAAAATCACAGTGAAGGTTTAACAGAAATTTTGCAGACCTCAGCAACCTTCTTAAAAAGTTTGAAAACATGGACCCCAACATCCAAATGCTTTCATTAATAGAGAGGAATATGCATCGTGCATTAGTTGCTTACAAGCAAATCAATGATGAAAAAGTAGATAACCGAAGCAAACTTCCATTTATGTGTTCTTAAAACATTGATGAAAAAGAACCCACCCAAATGTCCAGCAATGATAGACTGGATTAAGAAAATGTGGCACATATACACCATGGAATACTATGCAGCCATAAAAATGATGAGTTCATGTCCTTTGTAGGGACATGGGTGAAGCTGGAAACCATCATTCTCAGCAAACTATAGCAAGGACAAAAAAACAAACACCGCATGTTCCCACTCATAGGTGGGAATTGAACAATGAGAACACATGGACACAGGAAGGGGAACATCACACACTGGGGCCTGTTGTGGGGTGCGGGGTCGGGGAGGGATAGCATTTGGAGATATACCTAATGTTAAATGAAGAGTTAATGGGTGCAGCACACCAACATGGCACATGTACACATATGTAAGTAACCTGCACGTTGTACACATGTACCCTAAAACTTAAAGTATAATAAAAAAAAAGAAAGAAAAAGAACCTCAGATGGGTCCTTCAGGAGATATTCCAGAAGAAGGCATTGTTATCACAGGGGAAGACAGCTCCATGTATGTTAATACCCCAAAAGAACTTCCAGTGGAAGAAGATGTAAAGGTGGAAGAGATTCGTATTGATGGCCCTGACCCCGTGTAGCCCTGGGCTAATGTGTGCGTTTGTGCCTTAGTTTTTAACAACAAAAAAAAAAGTTTAAAAAGTAAAAACAAATGAAAATAGAACGAAGCTTATAAAATAAAAATATAAAGATAGAAAATATTTTGAACAGCTATATGATGTACGTGTTAAACTAAATGTGAGGAGCAAAAAGTTAAAAAAATTAAAAAGTTTATAAAATAAAAAAGTTGCAGTAAGCTAAGGTTAATTTATTATTGACAAATACTTTTTATAAGTTTAGTGTAGCCTAAGTGTACAGTGTTTATAAAGTCTGCAGTAGTGTGCAGTAATGTCCCGGGCTTTCACACTCATCACCACTTACTCACCAGTGCAACCAAACTCCCAGTGCTGCAAGCTCCATTCATGGTAAGTGCCCTCTACAGGTGTATGAATTTTTCTCTTTTATATCACACTTTTACTGTATATTTTCTGTTTAGATGCACAGATACTTACCACTGTGTCATCGTTGCCTACAATATTCAGTACAGTAACAGGCTACAGGTTTGTAGCCTACGAGCAATAGGCTAACTATATGCCCTAGGTGTGTGGTAGGCTAGCCCATCTAGGCTTGTGTAAATATGCTCCATAATGTTCACACAATGACGAAATGTAGACCGAATGCTACATTTGGCAGAATTTGTTTTTTTATTTTTGAGACAGAGTCTCGCTCTGTCACCCAGGCTGGAGTGCAGTGGTGTGACCTCAGCTCACTGCAACCTCCACCTCCTGGGTTCAAGCAATTCTCATGCCTCAGCCTGCCAAGTAACTGGGATTGCAGGTGTGTGCCAACACGCCCAGCTAATTTTTGTGTTTTTAGTAGAAACGGGGTTTTGCCATGTTGGCCAGGCTGATCTCGAACCCTTGACTTCAAGTGATCCACCCACCTTGGCCTCCCAAAGTGCTGGGATTACAGGCGTGAGCCACCACACCCAGCCACATTCGTCAGAAGCTAAATTTATTGTTAAGGGAGGAGACAGTCAAGTATAAAAGAGTCCCTGCAGAACCTCCCACTGGCCTGTGCACTGGGAGAAATGCACACTGGGGTGTAGCCATGGAAAAACCTTTTTCATGTTTTTCCTCATTTTTCAGCGGGGAGGAGCCTGGTCTCTCCCGTTCCAGGGTAGTAACCTGGAATTCAATCTGTGAGATGGGGGACTGTTAATAGTAATCTATCTCGCTTTCCTGAGTTTTTTTCCTTTTCACCCAATAAATTCCATTTTTCTAACCCTTCTATGTGTCTGCGAGCCTAATCCTTCCTGGTCATTTGACAAGGACTCTGTTTTTAGCTGAACTAAAGAGGAAGTTGTGCAACAGTGACACGTGACTATAATCATGTGCTATTAACATGACAGCACTATAATGACTCTACGGATGGAGTAGGAGGCAGTTTTCAAAAGTACATGAGAGGGCTTCCACAGACCAAAGGGGAGAGCCCAAAATGCAAAATAAGTGAGAGAAAAACTGCTCAGCCTTCCCCATATTCCTTCTCCATAGTGGCTACTGAGACGTCTCCACAGAATTTCTAACACTCCACAAAGCCCAGTTGAAAATTTATAGAGTTGAAGCAATTGGATGGAGAATCAAAGGTGAGTTTAAGTTGAAAATACTGTGACTTTGGAGAAATGATTTTAATGTTCAGACCCTCTATAAAATGGGGTAAAATGACCACCCTTAGGGTATGTGAGACTTCAGTGAGATAAAATGGAGTTATGGAGGTCAACTACTTTGGAGCCTGAATAGAATTAGTGTAACTTCAGAAAGTTGCTTATCACCACTCAGAGAGTGCTTTACAATTTTTGTAAGTTTACTTTTACATTTCTTGAGATAAATGTTGTGTATCTTCTTATCCCTCCATATTTTCTTCTCCCTCCACTTCCATTCAGGTTATTACCTTCCCTTAAAGTTTAAATTTCAAAATTTAATTGAGAAAATATAAAAAGAAAAAGAAAGCAGGTGCCTAAAGACAAGGTATAGATGTGTAGCCAGAGAACTCTGCAGAAAATTCAATGAGATCTTTTAATTGCCCAGTCTGTGGGCTGAAATGTCAATTATATCACTCTCATGACATAATGAAGGTAACATGAATTGTAGGGTTGTAGATTTCCAACAAGAGCCACACATAAAATGTTTCAAGAAACAATGATTTTGCAGGTACAATAATGGTATTTTTGATGGGTGAATTTGGCCATGCTATAGTCCCCAGTTATTCTGTCAAATGGAAATCGAGGTGATACTGGGAAAAAAATTTGCTGATGCAATTAAAGCCTCTAATCAGTTTCCCATGAGGAAGGAGGATTATTCTGCATGATTTGTGTGAGCCTAACTGGATAATTTGGAAGGCCTCAAAAGCCAGGCTGAGGATCCTCTAGGAGAGAAGAAATTCTACCTGGGGCCAGGCCATCACCCAGAATCACATAAGATAATTCTTTGTGTGTGTGTCTGTGTGTGTGTATACATATGTATACACATGGTATGATTTATAACTGTATACATTTATGAGAAAATTTCAAAAACCTGATAATCAAATCTCTGTCTGAGAGAATGCCAGGTTACCTCATATATTAATGAAGAATCTCCGTTACCTTCCATATCATAGACATGAAAGGAAATTTACAACCACTTTCTGTGTTGTCGCTTTTCCTGTAAACTACATGACTATCTCATTGTTACCACCACAAACAATATCTTGTAAAATTCTATACACTATACCAACAAAATATATATTTAGTGTCACTATTGCTCTATCTTCTCCTGTAATATTATTGCCCCATTAATATGATGTCTCATCTGGATAACTGCAACTGCCTTCTAATCGAAATTCCTACTAGCACTCTTGGCCTGGCCAGTCAACACTACTAAAGAGCGATTCTTTAATACATGTAAATTATACCACGCCACTCATCTTCTTAACGTCCTCTGATGGCTTTCCACTGGGTTTAGGACAAAACTCAAACTTTTTAACTTTGTCTATAAGGCTTTGCATGGCCTGGCCCTTGTCTTTCTTACCTTCATTTTATGTCAGTCCTCTCCATTCTCGATAGATATGATACAGTTAAATCACATGAGACATTTATTAGTTGCTCAAACTGGTTAAGTTCTTATCTCAGATTTTTTACAAATGCTGTTTATTGGAGTCTGGCACATTCTTTCCTTTCATTTTTGCTTGACTAGTATATATTCATATATATTGGGTTATCTACCATGCCATATTTGTGCACTTGACCTTTACTTTTTAGTAATTACAATAATTTTATTTATTTATACAATATTTATTTTAATGTCTGTAGTTTCTAACTGTAATCTTCATGAGGGTTTATGTCATTGATATTCCAGCACTGACCCATATAAAGCATTGACCCATATAAATCTTCTGATTTATAAGAAACCTGATAATCAAATCTCTGTTTGAAAGAATGTCATGTTACCTCATATATTATTGAAGAATCTCTGTTAGATTCCATACTCATAGCCATTAAAAAAAAAAGTTCTGATTTACATGGATCAATGCTACAATAACAATGACATAACCCTTTAAAGTAACCTGAATGCTTTCTGTCAGGAGCGGCACTGTTGCAAGTATTTACTTTTATCCCAATTTACCAAAACTTGCATTACGTAAGACACCCTTAACTTCTGTGTGAACAGGTCATTATAACTGACACGATGTAATACATTTTGTGCTTAAGGTGGTCCATCTAGTCTGTGGCAGCTATATCTATTTGCTCTACTATTTTACACTAATTATTAACATTTTCTATGTTTACTGAGAATGTGGAAAAGTTTTAAAAACATGACAGTAGATCATAGGCACTTAATCAATATCGTTGATACAGGTTTTTCACACAAATGTACATTGATCCTTTACAAAATAAAACTTTGTTATTCAATTAATCAAGACCCTTAAGAGTTTTTCAGGGTTCTCTCGGAATACAATACAAACTTAATTCCGTGAGGCAGTATAGAATTTGCCAAACCTGCCTGTGCATTAGGAACAACTGATGCTTCTGAGGCTTTGAAAAGACAGTTTCCTGTAAATTACTCAGTGATTTAGTAAGTTTTTGGTGGCATTATGGGTAAACACTTATGGATTTATTTTTTTCTCCTGATGCTGTTTTCGTGTAGAGGAAACTTACTCAGTCTTTCTAAATGTATTTCCTGTTTACTAATGAATGAGTCAGATGGGGAACTGAACATGAATAGCCCTGCCCCTTCCTCTCCAGTCTCTCTGAAGAGTATTTTATGGGAAGCGTCTATTTTCATGTGTTCCTTTTATATTGTAAATCTTAATGAATGATAAGGTTTGGCTCTGTGTACTCACCCAAATCTCATCCCAAATTGTAATCCCCACGTGCTGAAGAAGGGAAGGGATTGGATTATGTGGACATTCTTCCCCATGCTGTTCTGATGATAGTGAATTCTCACAAGAACTGACAGTTTTATAAATGGTGGTTTTTTTTCTCCTGCACACTCTCTCTCCTGCCGCCTTGTGAAAAAGGTGCCTGCTTCCCCTTCCACCATGATTGTAAGTTTCCTTAGGCCTCCCCAGCCATGTGGAACTGTGAGTCAATTAAGCCTCTTTCCTTTATAAATTACCAACACTTGGGTACTTTATAGCCACGTGAGAACAGACTAACACAATGGGGAATTTGCTCCCCCCATTGGAATACCTTTCCTAATTTACTGCTGCCAATGACAGGGTAGACAAATCTGCCTAGTTATGGGATTTAGGATTAAGTAGTCTACTTTTTTATTGCAGATATAAGGTACATTATCTAATAAGAGCTTTACTAATAATGAAGGTGATATTTTGGCCAGCTTCTGTGAATTATTTGTCTTGTCTCTCAATTGGCTCATAACTTGGTCAGGGAAGAGGGTATTATTTACTTATAATCTTGATAAAAATTCCCCAAATTAGGGGCTTGGAGCAGTATTATTAAAGCTGTTTCTCATACATAATGATCACTCATAGTCTGAAATCATAATTATAATAGACACTCATTTGAATTATTTGCATAGCACTCCTCTTCTGAGGATTGCCTACTTGACTAATAAGGATGATTTTTAACAACAATATGTTTGTTGTGTATCACTATGCTTATGATCATAGTGTTTTTTGTGGAGGTAGACAGTTGACACAAACTGAGATATTCAGTGTCTCCTTGGGCTTAGAGGAGTGGGGTGAGAGAGAGAATGAGAGAGGGGGATTGATCCAGAAATTAGAATTAAGGTGTACAAAAGTTCTAGCATATAAAATTTATACTTTCATGGAATGTTAAATAATGCTCTATTGAGCATTGCTTGAAACCAGGTCATGAAAGGTCTTTTAGTCCGTGATGAGTAGTTTTCAACTTTTTCTAAATCATGTAGGTTTCTTCTGAGGAGTTTTTATTAAGGGAGTGGTACACCGGTACACGGAAAAACTTTGGAGCACTGTGAGACTGGAGGCAGAAAAACTATTTCAAAGACCATTGCAATTGTTCAAGTCTTACTTCAAAAATGGTAGTTAAAAAAAGAAGAGAAAGGAGGTTCAAAAGATGTGCTGTGATTTGGATTTCTGTCTGCTACAAACTTCATATTGAAATTTAATCCTCAATGTTACGATTAGGGCCTAGAGGGAAGGGTTTGGGTCACGGGGGAGGCAGATCCTTCATAAATAAATGCTCAGCCTGGGGGAGGAGATGAGTGAGTTCTCACTCTATTGGTTCCCACAAGAGTTTGTTGTTAAAAAAAACATGGCCTCTCCCGTCTTTCTCTTGCTTCCTATATCTCCATGTGATCTCCACACACTGCACCTTCCCTTTTGCCCTCTGTCATAAATGCAAGCAGCTTGAGGCACTCACCAGAAGCAGATGCCAAATCTTGAACTTTCTAGCCATCAGAATCAAAAGCCACATAAACCTTCTTTTCTACATAAACTACTCATTCTCAGGTATTCCTTTATAGCAACACAAAAGGGACTAAGATAAGATGTTTACAAGATAAAATTTTGGGAGCCTTGGTAATAAAGTCATACATTCATTTTTTCAACACATATATTTGTTGTGTGTTAGACACTCACAGAATACTGAACCTCAATCTTAGAATACTTAGTTCAATGACTTAGTTGTCAGGCTGAGCAAACTTAGGCCAAAAATGGAAGCAGTTTCTAATAAAATATAGTAAATTAGTGAAGAACTAAAGCTAGAACAGTCTTCTATATATAAGTGAAAGGGCAGGTTGTTTTTTCCCTTTTAAAACATTAGAATTCATAGAAAGAATATCTTGCACTTCAAAATGAAGGAAATTAAATCTTCTACCAATTATCTCTAAACAGTTCTGATAAAACATATTACCTGCCTAAAACATGTAAATTTAAACAATTTACCCATTTTCTCATCTACTAATTAAGGGAAAAATCTACCTACTTCATTAAACCTGTAGAGGATGAGAACTATAGAAGGATTATGAAGGCATTGGCGAGCAAATGTGCTTGGAGAGTCTATCCAAAGCATAACATAAATAGAAATTAGAAAAAAATGAGTGAAAATCATATTAGTAAGTATAAAATGCATGCTGATTAAATCTCATATTCAGATGGCCTTGATCCCAAACTGAAAGAGATAAAAATGCTGGCACTTCTTATAAGTGTTGTGCAGATAAAATGAGAATACACATAAATCGTTTATTCTACACCTGACTCATTTTGGCAACTCAATAAAAGGAAGCTGTTGTTATTGCTGATGGCTTCATTATTGTTATTTGCACATAATCAGGTATATATTATTCTCAATGGAAAGTAATTTCTATGACTTCTGGATTTGCAATCATCTGTCTCTGCTTCACATTGATTCATTTAAAGTTTATTTCAATTCAGTAGTTATTTATTGCTTACTATGTGCTAACCACTCTTCTAGACATTGGAATTAAAACAACGAGTAGTTCTTCTTGTTTCAAAGTAAGTCATGGTCAATTGGGAAAATTAATGATATGAAACAGGTAATTTCAATGCAAAATGTATATGCAATAATAGGTATGCTATTAGAGCAATGGTGACTGTCACCAAAGCTGCCTAAGTTAGTAGAGTGAGCCTTCCTAGGTGTGGTGATTTTTATGTTAGGTCTTTAGAGACTAAGAGACATTATCCAGGTGGAAGAATACTCCAAGCTGATGGAGTAATATGAACAAAAGCCTGGAGGCATAATGAAACATGTCACATTTTAGAAATTGTAAAGGATAAATGTGGGATAGAGGGTAGCAGTAGCAAGGCAACCCAGATCTGATCATGAAATGAATTATAAAATAAACTCAGGGTGGGCTGCGGCACAATGAAGGCTTGTAAATCAGGGAAGTAACATGTCCAGATTCGACATTTAATGAAGGGGTGGAGAAAACAGAACCTTTGTACATTGCCTTTGAGAGTGGAAGTATAACCTATAGGAAAGCATTGGAATACTCCAGATCTCACAGAACACACAAGTGAGGAGCTTGGCAAGTGCTCTCCCTCAAAACAAATACTAATACAACTCAATAAAAATGTCAAAGACAATTACTTCTAGACTTCTGACTCTAGAAAATCAACAAAGTCATACAAAAATTTGGCAAGTGCTTTTTCATGGAAAAAAATCTACTGAAACTTAGTAGGAACAGTGGAAGACTGTGGCATTTTAGACTGGAAATGCTTTCATCATGGAGCCCATCTCCATAGTATAGTAGTTCAACCAGGGTGGGACAGGCTGTGAGGATGTTTAATTTTCTCGTAAGAAGGCACATGTTTAATATGGGCCAGAGCTTGGGGTAGAAGTGAGGCTTGTTGCTGATGCATGTTGTTGACAACAATAGCAGGACAATCCAGGAACAATAGCAAACTATCCAAGAAGTCCAACACCATGGCAAGACTGAAGATGAAATCTTGGCTAAGGCAAGCACAGTATACGTGGAAATAAGCCAAAAATTAAATAGGAATTACATGAATCAAGACAGGTAGGATGGGCCTTGATAAACTTTAGAATAGACTCAGGGATCTAGAAGCCTTCACACTTGTGCAAGATTGTACATGCCCAGGAAAGACTAGAGAAGACTCTAACTAGATAGTTATTTTTGAATAAATGAGAGACTTTGAGCACACACTAAGTAAAAGCCAGAACAGATTTATTAACTGCCTGAATTGGAATGTGTTCCCCAAAGTAAACACAAATCCAGAAGCAAAGGAAGGTATTTAAAGGTCGTAATTAAATATATTAAAATTAGGGAATTGAAATGAAAAATAGAAAATTAAACAATAAAACAAAAAAATATGAATAACCCTCTTTCAATAATGTATAAGACAAATAGGGAGAAGATAGACAAATGTTTAAAAGACAAATAAAACCATAAACCTATTAGACATAAAAGATATTTATAGAACATTCCATGCAACAACAGGAGGATACAGATTCATCTCGAATGCACATGAAACATTCTTCAAAATAGACTACATGTTACAACATAAAATAAGCATCAATAGATTTAAAGAGTTGAGATAATAGAATGTTCTCTGAACACACTGAAATTAAATTAGAAACAAGAAAGATAATGAAATTTGTAAAATTAAAAAAAATATGGAAATTAAGTAGCATACTTTTAAATAACCAATCAGAGAAGTAATGAAGAGGAGAATTTAGAAATACTTTGATATGAATTTTTTAAAATAACATACCAAAATATAGGAGATTAAGTCAAAGTAATGCTTACAGAAAAAAAAGTTACTGTTTTAAAATCTATCTTTAAAAAGAAAAAAATTCCAAATCATTACTGTAACTTTCCAACAAAAGAAACTGGAAAATGAAGCAAACTAAAGACAAAGCAAGCATGAGCAAGGAAATAATAAAGATTGCGGTACAATAACTGCAAAAATCCTCAACAAAAATACTGGCAAATAAAATACAGCAACATACAAAAATGATTATAAATGTTTATAAAATGCTATCTGGACTAGAAATGCAAATTTGTTTTAACATACTGAAATCAATTACCATAATATACCCCCATTAACACAATAAAGAGAAAAAAAAACTCATGATTATTCTGATGGTTGCAGAAAGAGTATTTAACAAAATCTAACATATTTTAATGATAAAAATTACTCAATAAACCAGGAATAGAAAAAAAAAAATTCTTCAGGCTGTTAAATGGCATCTATGAAAATTCCACATCTGACATCATTCTAAATGGTGGAAGGCTAAATGCTTTCCCCGTAAGTTTTGGAACAGAACAAGGATGTCCACTCTCAACACTTCTACTTTACATTGTGAAACTGCCTTTGCAAAATTACTGAGGAAATTATGACAGTGAAAGAGATCAGACCTAACCGACTCCATCTTGCTTCTAACTTTTAAGCTGTCTGTTCATACTTAGGCGTAGGCTGAACAAACTTTGGGAAGGAATTCAGTTCATTGTTTGACTCTGAAACAGAACTGATAATAGCTCTTTCCCAAAAAGGTTCCCTTCTTGCCTGGGGACCAGTCTGCCTTTGCAGGACCAACAAATTAGCTACAAGATTAGAAATTACAGTTTAGGGATCATGAAGCCTCTGGCTCCAAGGGTCTGAACCTCCCCAGATTGCTCCTGTGGATGACATTACTGTTGCAAAACCTGATATCAGTACTTGATATATTTTTCAGACCCTGTACTTGATGGATCATCTGACACCACACAGTCCAGTAATCTGGCCCAACCAGTCCTTCCATCCCACCCAGGAACGGAAGCCAGCAAGAAAAACTCACTTTGACCTCCTATAATTCCATCTCCAACCTGACTGACCAATCATCACTCCCCACTTCCCAAGCCCCTACCTACCAAATTATTTTTAAAAACTCTGATCCACAAATGCTCAGGGAGACTGATTTGAGTAACAATAAAACTCCAGTCTCCCGCACAGCCAGCTCTGCGTGAATTACTATTTCTCCATTGCAATTCCTCCGTCTTGATAAATCGGCTGTGTCTAGGCAGCAGACAAGATGAACCCACCGGGCGGTTACAATTGTACTGTAGGTTCTTGCCCGGGAAATTATGCAAGAAAAAAAAGGGTAAAGTCACTCAGATTGTAAAGAAAGTAAGACTATCTGTTTTCAAATATTACATAAATTTGTATATAGAAAAATTCAAGGAATCCACTAAAATATTGTTAGAATACCTGAGCTTTGCAACATTGCAGAATACAACACAAACATACACAAATTATAGAGTGACATCAGCCAAATTGGCAGAGTAAGGAACTATGAATTCCACTCTTCCATAAGAGAAAAAAAGAACACACAAAAACTATCAGAACCAACTTCATCCAAGCTCTGGCAACTGACAAATGGCTTGTCATGACCTTGGAAATGCTTATTCCAAAAAAGCTCATTATTCATAAGAACAGTAAAATTTGTGACACTTTAATTTATACAAGTTTCATTCTCTGTTCCCCATATCAGCCATAACCATGAAAATAACAGCCTGCATTCCAGGTACTAGTGCCCAGTACTGTAGGGAGCAGAACAGACATCATTCACAAAGAATTGTAATTATTTGTTCTGACTTCTCTGGTGACTCCTTGGAAGAGCTGTTCAAAAAGTACATCTTTATTTCATTTAAGTGGGAACTGGTCTAATGCTGATGTTGCTTCCCAGGAGTATTTGTCAACCACATTTATAAGCTAATATCTTAGGTTGCTGTTGCATGAGGTGGCAGATAACAGTTGGGTAAAATATTACACTAATAAAAAACCTTGGGAGGAAAGGGTGTGAAGTGAGATATCCCCAAGAGCTTTGAAAAGATCAAATATATTCCTAGGAATCTACAAGGTCACATACATGCTGAGAGCTCTGCACATGTACAAGAAAAACCTGCGACGGCCCTATTCTTTTAACTTCTGCTGACCTTGAAGGACTGTATGCAATATATCCATGTAACAAAACTTAACTTCTACCCCTTAAATTGACACCCATTTCAAAAAGAGCATAGTAAAGAGCACAGTATTCAAAGTAAAGAATATAAAAACAACAGAGATTATTTTTAAAATATTGGTTTCTTGAAGACAAAGAAAATTGACAAACTTTGATCTAGAATAACTCAGAATAAAAGAAGACCAAAATTACTAAATTCAGAGAGTCAGGAAATTACTACAGACCTTACAGAAATCCATGGATCATAAGAGAATACTGTGAACAATTGTATATCAACAATTTATTTGATATAAACAAATTACTAAAAGCACACAAACTACCAACACAGAATCAAGAGAAAGTAGAAAATCTGAAGAGACCTATAACAAGTAAAAATATTGAGTCAGTAATCAAAAACTTCCCATCAAATAAAGCCCAGGACCAGATGCCTCCACTGGGTGAATTCTCCCAAACAAATGAAGAATAAACACCGATTTTTCTCAAACTCTTAAAAGACTATAAGATGAGGAAATACCTACTAAATCATTCCATGAGGTCATCAATACCTTCGTTCCATAACAAGGAAAAGTACCACGCATACACAAAAAAATTACAGACCAATAATTCTTATAAATATAAAGTAATCCTCAAGAAAATACTAGCAAGCCAAATTCAGCAGTATATTCAAAGGCTTATTCAACATAGCTAAATGGGATTTATCCCAACAATGCAGTGGTGGATCAATATATGAAAAGTAATTGAAATAATACACCACGTTAATAGAATCAAGAAGAAAAAGCACAAATAATTATTTCCATTTAAATTTTTATTTTTGACAAATAATTGTATGTATTTATGGGGTAAAATGTGATGTTTTAATATATGTATAATTGTAAAATGATTATATCAAGATAAATAATGTATCTATCACCTCAATACTTACTATTATAGTGAGAATGTTTAACATTTTTTAGTAATTTTGAAATACATGATTCATTATTATTAACCATTGTTAATAATGAATAATGATAGTGATGTGCAATAGACATTGAATAAATGAAACTTTTTATTCTTTGGTAAACATTTCGCCATTCTCCACTGGATTTTTAGTCTCTGTCAACAACTATTCTACCCTCTACCCTCTACTTCTATAAGTGTGACTTTTTTGAGATTCCACATGTAAGAGATAATGTAGTATTTGTCTTTCTATGCCTGGCTTACTTCACTTAGCATTATATGTCCTTCATATTCTTCCATGTTGTCATGTTGTCACAAATGACAGAATTTTCTTTTTTCAGGCTGAGTAGTATTCTATTATGGATATATACCATATATTTTCTTCATCAATCATCCATTAATGGACACTTAGGTTGAGTCCATATCTTGGCTATTGTAAATAATACTGTAATGAACATAAAAGTGCAGATATCTCTTTCACATACTGATTTCAATTTTTTATATATATTTTGTATATATATTATATATATTATATATATAAAATTGAAATCAGTATGTCTGTATATATATATCAGTATACACACATATATATACACATCTATATACACACATATATATACACACATATATACACACACACACACACACACCCAGAAATGGGATTGCTGTTTATATGGTAGTTTTATTTTTAATTTTCTGAAGATCTTCCATACTGTTTTCTATAATGGCTCTGCTAATTTACATTTTCACCCACAGTGTGCAAGCATTCCCTTTTCTCTACATTCTTGACAACACTTACTATCTTTAACCTTTTTTATAACAGCCATTATAACAAGTATGAGGTGATACCTCATCGCGGTTTTCATTTATTTTTCCCTGATTATTAGCCATGTCAAGCATTTTTAATAAACCTATTTGCTACACAAATGATTATTTTAATTGATTCAAGGAAAAACACTTAAAGAAATCCAATAAGGTTTTGTGATTAAAAAAACCTCAACATTCTAGGGATAGTAGTGAGCTTCCTTAAACGTGATAAAGGGAGTATATGAAAAATCTACTGTTAACCTGATACTCTATAATTACGTTCAGTTACTGAAATGAGCAGTTTTCTTCCTGGTTATGGAGCCATACAAATAAACAGAGATCCACGGTAAGTAAAATAAAATGAGAAAACTTGTATTTCACCTTACTTGGACACTCATTTTTACAGACGCAGTTAAGGTCTTTGGCTCCTAGCCAATAACTGGGCATTAATGCTGGCCCATTCCTGTGGATACCTCTAATAGGTCATTTTGGCTTGAGAATGCCTCATTGGCCCAGAAAAACCTTTCTTATAAATGTACCACAGGATAAAACTCTTCCTTCCCCTTCTTCACAGAAGTCATACCTGCTTTGCCATCTGAAACTTCCTTGCCTATACTTGATCATGTCCCCCAACAGATCTCCTACAAATCTAAAGATTTCTTGGTGTCTGCTTTTCAGAGGACCTAAACTAATACACTCTGTGTGCTCCAATTACACAGTGTGCATGCTTTTATGGTACTTATCATACTATATGCTAAAAATAATATCTTTACCCTCTCTCCCGTAGTCCGCAATCATGATTAAAGCAGCTGCTACATTTAATTACCTTTGTAATATTCAGAACCCAGCATATTGCTTATAACTATAGTACGCTATTCATCTTTTACCCATATTCATATACCTCCAGGGCATGATAATTAGATAATAGTGACCTGTTAGCTGTGGGTGATAGGAAAGTGCAGGGCAGAGTGAGATGCTGCAAATGGGTTACAGGTGTATGGCGATATCAACCAGGTTAGCTGATTGACACCTAGAGCAACTGGATGTACTAGGATGGTTCAGTACCCTGAGCTGCCTTTTCTGTTGATCCCAGTGGGCTTTACAGATACTATTTTTCTATGAGGAACATGATATGAGATGGTTTGGGAAATACTGCTATAGAGCATAGCAGAATCTCTGTGCAAGAGGGCATTTCTGTAATTTGCAAAAAGTAAATTGCAGTGGATTTTAATGTGTCTATTTCCTCCCAAAATGTAAATTACTAGCTTTGCACATTGTAGAAGTTCATTAACCATTTAATGAATGAAATATGAGTTTTACTGTGCACAAAAAATAACGTTAAAATTGCAGTATATAGATGTGAGCAAACAGTGAGCTTAATAAGCATTTGCTAAACTCAAAATTGAAAACTGAATGTAGAAAATATTAGGAGAAAAATTAGTATTCTACGTTCAGATGAACTTTATGACTTGCTGTTATGAAGTTATCATCAACTAATTGGCTCTGCCTTTAGACAGCTTTCCTGCTAAAGAAGGTTATTTTCACAAAGATCAAAGTTCTGAATAAAGTCTTAATGAAAACAAAAAAAAGTCTGAAAAAAATTAATTTGCATGAGTAATCCATAATAATGAATTAGAAAACAGGATTCTTGGATGAAAACATGACTTTAGAAATTATGAAGCTGCTAGTTAATTTTCAATATGTTGATTCTGATTTCTAGATAGAACCACAAAGCACTGAAATTTGAAGGGGTCTTAGAGATCATCTAGTCCTCCTTTCTCATTTTACAAAGTTCTTTCTTTATGGGGCTCTGAGAGGGAAGGTGATTGGGCAAGATCACCTGTGAAATAGCTACTGGGACAGGAATAAAATACAAATTTCCTGTATCTTAGTCTAATGTTTGAGTCTGTTTTCTCAGCATTACTATTCTAGAAAACATTAATATTAATATTTTATGACACTGATAAAATGTCTTACACAACAGATGTATGAATTTCACAAAACAAAATTTCCATTTCAGTGGAAAAAGACAGTGATTGAATTAAACAGAGGAGTACCATTGGAGGAACAAAAATCTGATGAAAGAGGAAAATAATATTTTAGCTAAATTCCTCACATTTTGATATAAGGGGTATATACTAGTATTTTTTCAAACCCCGGATGTACAGGCAGTTCTATATTATCTGAATTTTTATGAAGGCATACTTTAGTTCTGTTGTGCATTTTTGTGAGTTTTCCCAAATAGATATAATTATACATTGTGTAACTATGAGGCACTCAAAAGATTCCCATATTCTCCTTGTAAACATCTTCCCACAGCCCCATGCCCCGGAAGCTACTGATCTCTTTACTTTCCCTGTAGTTTTATCTTGTTAAAAGTGTCTCCTTTAGAGTCTGGTTTGACTTGATAATGCCACTCAGGACCATTCATATTCTTTTAAGCAATAATTCATTCATTTTCATGGCCGAGTAGATTCAAATGCTATCTATATGTCAAAATTGGTTTATCAATTTCCCAAGTTAGAAATTAGAAATACTTATTTTATTTATTTCCAGTTTTTTTTTCCTTGTTTGTTTGTGAGACAGGTACTTGGGTACTTGCTCTGTCAGCCAGGCTGGAGTGCTATGGCATGAACATGGATCACTGCTGCCTTTACCTCCTGGGTTCAAGCAATCCTCCCACTTCTGCCTCCCAAGTAGCTGGGACCACAGGTGTGTGTCACCGTGCCCAGCAAATTTATTTTATCTTATTTTTTATAGAGATGAGATCTTGCCAGGCTCACCATGTTGCCCCAGGCTGGTCTTGAACTCCTGGGCTCAAGCGATCCTCCCTCCTCAGCCTCCCATAGTGCTGAGATTAAAGGTATGAGCTACCATGCCTGGCCTATTTCAGGTTTTTGATTGTTAAAAATAAAGTTATGAACATTTGTGTATGTCTTTGACTTCCATATGTTTTGATTTTCCTTAGGCAAATACCCAGGACTGTGTTTTAGTCCATTTTCTGTTGCTATAATTCAATCCCTGAGACTGGGTAATTTATAAAGAACTGAATTTATTTGGCTTACAGTTTTGAAGGCTGGGAAGTCTAAGAGTATGGCACCAGCATCTAGTGAGGGCCTTATTGCTGCATCCTCACATGGAGGAGGACGTCACATTGCAAGAGAGGAAGAGCGTGCATGTCAGTTAGGTCTCCTTTCCTCATCTTATAAGGTCACTGGTCCTCTCATTGAAGCCCCACCTTGATGACCTTATCTAATTCTAATTACCTCCCAAAGGCCTCACTTTCAATCAATATTTGAAATTTGGAATTACATTTTCAACACATGAAATTTGGGGAAAAAATTCAAACTATAGCATTCCACCCAGCCCCACTTGAGCACCAACTCAAAATTTCAAAGTCCAGAGTCTCGTCTAAGTCAGACATGGGTGACAATCCAGCCATGATTCCTCTCAAGGTAAATTTCTCTCCAGCTGTGATCTGTGTAATTAAATAAGTTATCCACTTTCAAAATACAATGGTGGGACAGGAATAGGATAGAGATTCCCATTCCAAAAAAAGGAAAAGAAGCAAGAAAAAAAGGGGAACTTGTGACAGGTAAGTCCAAAATCCAACAGGGAAAACAACATTAAGTCTTAAAGCTGGGTATTGTCTTCCTTTGGCTCCATTCTGGAACACGAGAGTAGAGGGTGAACCCCCAAGGCCTTGGGCAAACTCATCCCCTGGATCATAGTTTTCAAAGCTAGGAGGTCCAAGAGCATGGCTCCAGCATCTGCTGAGGGCCTTATTCCTGCATCATAACATGGCAGAATGCATCACATGGTAAGAGAGCAAGATTGTAAGAGTCAGCTCAGGTTCCTCATGTGAGATAAAATTGACGAGGTGGGGTCAATGACCCTCTATATTCTGATGAGTTTTTGTTACTGGAAGAGGTCTCCCAACCACCAATGGAATCTGCCTCTCCTCCTCCAGTGGAAGTAGCCTACCCACTATAATTGGAGTAGCTATACTCAGCAAGGGGCAGAATCTCTACATTGACTCTCTAACCAGTGGATTGCGGGTCATTATGGCAGAAAAGGCCAAGTAGAAGTCATTAGAAATTACTCTACCTAGAAAAACAATAAACCAAAAGTAATACCATATTCCTGGAGGGTTTAAAGAAATTAGTGGCACCATTAAAATTTGAAGAACACAGGGTAATAGTTTCCACCATATCCTCACTCCACTTGCTTATTTGGATTTTGTATAAGACAGATGGATCTTGAAGAAAGATGATAAACTATTATAGGCTTAATGAGGAGGTGACTCAAATTGTAGCTGTTGTAACAAAGGTGGTTCCTTTGCCTGAGCAAATTGACACATTCCCTGGTACCAGAGATTCAGCTACTGATCTGGCAAATGATATTGTTTTTTCTTCATACCTATTAATAAAGCCCACCAGAAGCACTTTGTTTTCAGCTGGCCAGACCAGCAATACATCTTCACTGTACTATCTCAGGATATATCAACTCTCTATCTCTATGTCATAATTTAGTTCTCAAAAATCTTGATTGCTTTTCCCTTCCACAGGAAAACTCACTTGTCAATTACACTAATGCCGTTAGGTTTATTGGACCTAGTGAGCAAGATATAACAACTACTCTGGACTTATGATCAGGTATTTCCAAGGCCGAGGGTCAATAATGTATCCAACAAAAAATCAGGGGCCTTCTTACCCAAGTGAAATTTCTAGGAGGCCAATGGCATGGACCATATTGAGACAACTCTCTTAAGATGGAGAATAAGTAATTGTGTTGGACTTGGCTCCTTCTACAACGAAAGCAATGGCACAACACCTAGTGGGCTTCTATGGATTTTGTAGGCAACATATTTCTCATTTGGGTGTGTTATTCCAGCCCATATACAGACTGACCCCAATGGTGCTGGTTTTGAATAGGATCCAGAAAAGGAGAAGGCTCTGCAAAACATCCAGACTGTTGTGCAATCTGCTCTGCCATTTGGGTCGTAAGATTCAGCATGTCCAGTGGTGCTTGAAGTGTCAATGTCAAATAGGGTTGCACTTTGGAGCCTACAGCAGGCCCCTTTGGATCATAGCACAGGCCCTTAGGATTTTGGAGCAAAGTCTTATTATGCTGTAATAATAATTACTTCTTTAATTGTTTTAAGAAACAGATCTTGGCCTGCTACTGCATCTTAGTAGAGACTGAATGCTAAACTTTGGGCCAAAAAGTTACCGTGTGACCTGGGCTCCCCGTGATAAACTGAGTATTCTGATACATTAAGCAAAAAAATCAGGTATACACAGCAAAACTGCATCATGAAATGGAAGTAGCATATACATGATCAGGCCTTAGCAAGCTCTAAAGGTACAAGTAAGTTACACGAAGAAATGGCCCAACTCCTGGTCCCATGATCCCCACTCCTGCTACCCTGCCTTCTCTCTCCCAGCCTGTACCTACGGCCTCATGAAGGGTATTCTCAGTGTTTAGCTACCACTTATAAGTGAGGACATGTGATATTTGGTTTTCTGTTTCTGTGTTAATTCACTTAGGATAATGGCCTCTAACTGCATCCATATTGCTGCAAAGGAAATGATTTCATTCTTTCTTTGGTTATGTAGTAATTTTGTGGTGTATTTGTACCTTTTTTTTTTTTTTTTGAGACAGATTCTCGCTCCGTCACCCACGCTGGAGTGCAGTGCAGTGCAGTGGCATGATCTTGGCTCACCGCAGCCTCTGCCCCCGGGCTTAAGTGATCTTCCCACCTCAGCCTCCTGTAGCTGGTATTACAGGCACACACCACCATGCCTGGCTGGTTTTTGTTTTTTTTTTTTTTCTTTTTGAGACAGAGGAAGAAGAGACTTAGGCATGGTTTTACATACAGTGCTGTATGACATGCAGGCACCATGTAAAGTGGACCGCTGTAGCACTTCAGCCTCTTTCTGGGATATTTCTAAAGGACAGCAGTGAAGAAAAACCTTTCCAGTGGATAGAATCTCGAGAAGTGTAACTGGTTGTTTACTTTGCTTGGAATGAAAATGGCCAGATGTGTGATTATTACCAATTCGCAGACGGTGGCCAAGGAACATGATTGAAAAATTGGAAAAAAAGAAAATAAGGAAAGAGGTATATGAAAAGATCTCTCTGAATGGGCAAAAATATCTTGAAGATCTTTGTCTTCCATATGAATTCTCACAAACTGGTGATCTCAGAAGAAGATTTTAATAGTCAGGTGGAAAGGATGACTTGTTTTGTGGTTAGCACTCAGCCTCGTTCTGCAATCACGGCCGTCATTGCCCAATGGGTTCACGAACACGATGGCCATAGTGGCAGGGATGAAGCCTATGCATGAGCTCACCAACATGAACTTACACTCACTGAGGCTGACCTGGCTATGGCCACTGCTGAGTGCCCAATCTGCCAGCATGACAGACCAACGCTGAATCCATGATATGACATTTATTTCTGGGGTGATCAGCCTGCTACCTAGTGACAAGTTGATTATATTGGACTACTTCCATAATGAAAGGAACAGCATTTTGTTCTTTTAAAAATTTTTAATTTTTATTTGTATAAATTTAAGGGGTACAAATGAAACACTGTTACATGGATATATTGTGTAGTGGTGAAGTGTGGGCTTTTAGTGTATCCATTAGTCAAATAATATTTATTGTACCCATTTAGTAATCATCCAACTCCCTATGACTGCTTCATCTTTCTGAGTCTCTAATGTCTATCATTCTACACTCTATGTCTATACATACATATTATTTAGGTCTTATAAGTGAGGACATGTGGCATTTGTCTTTGTTTCTGAATTGCTTTACTTCAGATAATGGCTTCCAGTTTTTTCCATGTTATAGCAAAAGATAGTTTTTATATTTAATTGCTGAACTGTAATTCATTACTTATATTTAAATAATATATATTATAAATATGTTATATTATTTAAGTTGGTGCAGGGTGAACTTATGATGGTTAAGTTTTTGTCAACTTGATTGGGACAGTAAGTCCTTAAACATTATTCCTGGATGTCCCTGTGAAAGTATTTCATGATAAAATGACCATTTAAATCTGTGAACTGAGTAAAGCACATTGCCCTCCCCAGTATGGATGGGCATTATTTAATCTGTTGAAGTCCTAAAAGGTGGAAGAAGGAGAAATTAATTTTCTCTGCTCGATTGCTTGAACTGAAACATCAGCCTTCTCCTGCCCTCAAAGGGGACTTGCATCACAAGCTCTCTGATTTTCACAGCTGCACGTCCAGCTTCCCTAGATCTCCAGCTTGCAGATGGCAAATTGTGAGATTTTTCAGCCTCCATAATGGCATGAGCCAATTTCTTATAAAAATTATCTATCTAGATGGACAGACAGAAATATCCTATTTCTTCTGTATCCCTAAAAAACTATAATATACCATATATTCCCGAATTTATATTGGAATTTGATTCCATTCTAGTGACCTGTTTTTTAAAATAAGATATATTTTTAATAACTCTCTTGATTACTATAGCTATATAATAAGTCTTGAAATCACATAGTGTATTTCTTCTTTGCTCTTTCTCAAAGTTATTTGGCTATTCTATGTTCTGTTTTCATGTGATTTTTAAAAAATTGTTTGCATATATAAAATATGCCTGCCAGGTTTTTGATTGGGAAGATATTTAAAGATCACGGATATTTTTAAAGTGTTGAGCATTCTAGTCAATGAACATGATGTAACTCATTTTTATTTAGATATTTCTTGTATTTCTTATTTTTTTAGACACGGGGTCTCCCAATGTTGCCCAGGCTGAAGTGACGTGGTTACTCACAGGTGTAATAATCATGCACTATAGCCTCGACATCTTGGCCTCAAGCAGATCCTCTTGCCTCAGCCTCCCGAGTAGCTGTGACTGCAGACATGTGCCACTGTGCCTGGCTAGATCTTTCTTAAATTCTATTAGTAATTTGTTGAAATTTTCAACTTAAATTTTGCACGTATATTTTGTCAGATCTTTTTCTAATTGTTTCTTATTTTTGATGCTGCTATAAATGGTGTTATTTTTATAATTTTAATTTCCAATGCTTTTTTGCTGATATCTAGAAATAGAAGTTATCTTTTTATGTTAAAATTGTATTCTGAAAACTTAGTAAACCTACTTATTAGTCCTGGAAACTTTTTTGAAGATTCTTTGGAACTTGCTTTTGACAATCATGTCATCTGCAGACGGAGACAGGGTTATTTCTTCTTTCCCAAACATAATGCCTTTGTATTTATTTATTTTATTTTTGCCTCAATACACTAGCTAAAATGTTCTGTACCAATGTTGAATAGAAGTAGTGAGGACAGACATCCTTGTCTTTTTCTAAATCTTAGGGGGAACACCTTCTGTTTCTTGTCAATAACTCAGGTTATCATTAAGTACAAACAACGTTACTGATGCCCTTCTTTTTCTCCCTCATATAGTTTCCCTCAAAATTCCCACTCTCTCTTTGCCTAACAGGAATCCCTTCCTCTGCCTGCACCTCTTCTTATGAAGTGCCTCTTCCCATACGCCCTCATCTTCTTCCATAAAACCAATGCCCTCTGGGACCACTGTTTTTCTAGCAGGTACAGGAGATAATCGGGAAGGTAAAAATAGCCCTTTAGGGATTCTAGAAAAAAAATTTCTCTAATATCTACCATTTTTTCAAGAAAGCCAACATTTCAAGAGATACAATACTATTTGGCCGTTAACAAAGGCTGAATGAGAAACTGAATCAAAATCAGCCAGTTCAGGATCAAGAGACCTTGAAGAACTCCACTACCTCAAATGGAGTCAGTAAGTATAGAGAGAGGAACGGAGACCTCAAAATATCCACTATCTCCAGAAACCTAAAATGATCAACAATGTAGAGACTGAATAATACAACAACAGAATGCATAAATGCTAATGATTAAAATTAAAATCAACAAGTTGTTAAAAGACCCTCATTTTAGGGAATATATGTGTTTCTTTGTGAGTTCTCTGATGGTGGGAAAGGAGGGCAATAAGGGAATAGGCAGGGATATGAGAAGGGAGGGAAGTAGAGTCCTGCAGGTTGGCGATGAAACCAGTAGGTCCACAATGAGCTGGACATGAGAGATTAGTACTGGTTGAGGACTAAGTGCTGAAGACAAATTTTCTCCTAATTATCAATACTCAGGCAAGAATGTTGTGTTTCTGCCTTTGTTTGGGGTGGGGGTGACATCAGTGTCTACCTTGCCAGAACTCAGATAGGAAGTGCTCATTTGAAACACACACACACACACACACACACACATATATATGTGTGTGTGTGTATACACATATGTATTTGTATATGTGTATATATACACATATATATTTATATATATATTTATATATACATATTTATACATATATATTTTTACATATATATTTATATATTTGTATATGTGTATATATACACATATATACATATATACAGTTCAAATTAGCATATTTATATGCTAATTTTAGTCAACATATTGTACAAGGAATTTTATTTGAATAACTCTGTTAGACTGCTGGGCCAAGATAGAAGCTGATCCAGCTACCTCTACTCCTTTCTAAAGTAGTTTCTTGATGGCGTGGAACTGTTGGTGTGTTAGAGCTTGCTTCAAGTGCACTTCCACTCTACAATCTCTGTAGTAATGTGTGACACAAATACTCCTGCTTTTAAACATTAGCTTATTAAAATAATGAAAGCACAGTCAATGCTGACAAAGAGCAATTTAATCTTTCACAGTTCTGTCATTTTTCGTAACCAAATATTTTGATTTTATGTCTAAATTAGAAACAAAGTATGAACTGCAAGGTGTAAAATTTTTGAAGGATAGTGCAAATTTTATTGTATTTGAATGTAGACTATCCTATTGAATTTGAAAAATCTTTAAAGGCGCACTTACTATTCTTTATATTAAATCCAGAACTTAAAATATTACATTTGTTCTATGATTCAGTAATTGCCTAAATTGTACTGCTTGTACACTGTTTGCTTTCCTTAAAAATTTCTTTTTACTTTCATAGTTACACATAAAATATTCAATAAAAGATTTACAATTTTTTTTCTGATTATTTCTTTAAATTCCTATTACTAATTACTAATTTTTTATATTGAAGAGAGTGTGTTTTAAAAAGTGCCTTTCCGGAGGTCAAATACACTTATTATGCCACTGGAGGGGGATATTTTATTGGCTAACATCCTTCATAATTTGGCCCAAGTTGCTGGAGGTTTTTTTTCTTTCCTCGTTTGTTTCTCTTCATTTTAAATAGCATTACTAAGGTAGAACTGGCTACCATAAGCCACACATCTTGACATTTTACACTTGATTAGTTTTGATATATATGTGTACCCATTAAACCATCACCACAATCAAAATAGGAAATATTTTCATTGCTCTTAAGTTTCCTTTTTCTCTTTGCAATCACTCTTTCATTCCTCTCTATGCTCATCCCTAAGTAACTATTGATGTTTTCTGTCAGTATAGTTTATGTTTTTTGTATGTTAAATGACTGACATCATACTGTATATACTCTTTTATCTCTGTAGTCTGTTAAGTCTAACTTTCTTCGATCAGCATGATCATTTTGATATATATTCATGTTGTTGCATATATCAATATTTCATTCCTTTTCATTGGTTAGTAGTAGTATTACATTAAGCAGATATGCCAAATTTGTTTATTCATTGTCCTGTTGATGAGCACACGACTTGTTTCCACTTTTTGGCTACTATAAATAAAGCTGTTTTAAAAAAAATTATACAAGTCTTTGAGTGGATATATGCATTCATATATATTGGGTAAATGCCAACAGTGTAGTATCTAGACTATAAGGTAGATGTATGTTTCACTTTACTAGAAAATACCAAACTGTTTTCCAAAGTCATTGTAGTGTTTTAATTTTCTACCAGCAGTGTGTGAAGGTTTCAGCTCCACCAAATCTTCACCATACTTGATACGGTCAATTTTTTTAATGTTAGGCATTCTCATAAATGTATCATGGTTTCACATTATGATTTTAATTGATATTTCCATAATGACTAGTAAAGTTAAACATCTTTAGCCCATGGGCTTACAAGCCATCCCTTTATCTCCTTGTTGTTTTGCCTGTTCGACTCTTTATTTCCCTTTTTAAATTGAGTTGTTTTCTTTCATATATTTTGACAGATTTAACCCTAAGTATTTTGTATGACAGATGTTATTGTAAATGGTACTTTTTAATCATCAGTATCTGATTGAACTTGTATATGAAAATATAATTTTTGTGTACGGATTTTGTATTCTACAAGTTTGTTCATCTCACTTGTACTAGTAACATTTTTGTGGATTTCATCAGATTTTCTACATAGGTGATATGGAATCTGCACATAAATGCAATTTCGCTTATTTTTTTCCAAACTGGATACGTTTTACATATTTTTCTAATCTGACTTCATGGTCAGAGCTTTACCACACTGTTGAATACAAGTGTCAAGAGTGGACATTCTTGTCTTGTTTTCAATAGTATTGAGGAAGCTTTCAGTCTTTTACAATTACGCAAAATCTCATAATTGTAGGAGATCTTTAAATTTTATTTTTATGATTGCCATTTATCTAAATGAAGAAGTTCCCTTCTATTCCTAATTTGCAGAGAGCTTTTATAAGAAACAGATGTTAAAGTATTTTAATGATTTTTCTGCATCTATTAAGATGCTCATATGTCTTTTCTTTTTTAATACAAGGGATTACATTGATTTTTAAATGTTTAACCAACTCCATTTCTTAGACAAACCCCACAAAGTCGTGTTATATTTCTCTCTCTATCTATGTATTTATTTCCCATGGTCTTGTTGATGGCATTTTATAAATATGTTAATAAGGGATATCTCTTTTCATTGTCATTTTTTTCCGTTTTTGTATCAGGTAATTCTGGACTTATAGAATGAGTAGTGCTGTGTTCCCTCTTAATGAGGTTATGTAAAACTAGATATTATTTCTTTCTTAAATATTTGACATATTTATCCATTGACATTTCTTGGCCTGATTGAACTTCAGTCTTTTGTAGTCACTGTGTCTCTGGCCTCTGAAATGGGGCCTTCTCAGTTGTGCTGAGCTTGTAAAAGCCTCCTAATGGTTTTAAGCAGGATGAAATCCTGCTTCTCCTCAGGACTAGAGAGTTTGTGTTTTCTGTTCTCTTGCCTCAGCTGTAATGAAACCTGTGCCCTCAGGACAACAAGCTTTTTGCACATCCACCAGCAGTTTAAGACTTTTATTTTTTACGGGATATAGGAAAAAAAAAAAGGGCCCCTACAGGAATATGTACCTTTCCCTAAGTGACTGTTTTTCCCCAATCCAAGGCCTCTAAGAAGACAGAGGCTTTCTCTGAATTCTAGCCCTTCACTAATTCAAACTATAATCACCTAGAGAGGTTCATGGAGAAGGCTTTGCAATTGGGTCTGAATTTTCATTATATCTGCAGATCAAAGGAGTTATATATTTTCATGATAAATATTAGCTGCTTTTTCCTTACAGTTCATTAATCCAGCATCTACCCCAGGTAAGTAGTGATCACAGCTCATCTCTTCTTAGAGGTGCCTGTCCTCACTTAGATTTGGTTTAGTTGTTTCCCCAGTGTCTTTCGTGTTCTGATGGGCTCAAGGGAAGTGACTTTCTAGATTATTTTGCATTTTAAGGTCTGAGCAATGCACTTCCTAGCTTTCTGCACCCTAAGCAGAAGATGGAAATCTATCCTTTCTTTTTTAGATCTGATAGTATTGCATTATAATCGTGTGTGTGTGTGTGTGTGTGTAGATTCATATGTATAAACATATGTAAGTATATATCAGTTTCTAGTAGGCTGCAGTAAAGTCAGCAAAAACAACCACTGGCATATTTACTTCTTCCCATAATTCTGTCAGTTGTGCTTGATGTATTTTGTACTTATATTTTAGTTTCCAATTGTTATATCTTCTTGATCTATTGTTTCCTTTACTGGTACATACTTTCCTTCTCTGTCCTTTAACTTCATGTATTACTTACCAGACAGCAAGATAGTTGCCCTGATTTACATTACTATCTATGCCGTATGAGGGTTCCTTTTCTCCACGTCATCACCAGCATTTGCTATTGCCTGTTTTTTGGATAAAAACCATTTTAACTGGGGTGAGATGATATCTCACTGTAGTTCTGATTTACATTTCTCTGATGGTCATTATTTATCACCTTTACAAATGCCTGCTTGCCATTTGTATATCTTCTTTTGAGAAATGTCTATTCAAATGTTTTGCCCATTTTTTGAATTGAATTATTGGATTTTTTTCTATAGAGCTGTTTGAGCTTCTTGTATATTCTGGTTATTAGTGTCTTGTCAGATGGTTACTTTGAAAATATTTTTTCCCATGATGTGGACGGCCTCTTTGCTTTATTGATTATTTTCAATGCTGTGCAGAAGCTTTTAATATGATATGATTTTATCTGTCCATTATTTCTTTGGTTGCCTATGCTTGTGGGTTATCAATCAAGAACTTTTGGCCTAGATCAATGTCCTGGAGTTTCCCCAATGTTTTCTTGTGTGAATTTCTTTTTCTTTCTTTCTTTCTTTCTTTCTTTCTTTTTCTTTCTCTCTCTTTCTCTCTCCCTCTCTCTCCCTCTCTCTCTCTCTCTCTCTCTCTCTCTCTCTCTCTCTCTCTCTCTCTCTCTCTCTCTCTCTTTCTTTCTTTCTTTCTGAGACGGAGTCTTGCTCTGTCGCCCAGGCTGGAGAGCAGTGGCGCAATCTTGGCTCACTACAAGCTCCGTCTCCCAGGTTCATGCCATTCTCCTGCCTCAGCCTCCTGAGTAGCTGGGACTACAGGCACCCGCCACCATGCCCGGCTATTTTTTTTGTATTTTTAGTAGAGACGGGGTTTTACCGTGTTAGCCAGGATGGTCTCGATCTCCTGACCTCGTGATCCGCCCACCTCGGCCTCCCAAAGTGCTGGGATTACAGGCGTGAGCCACTGTGCCCGGCCCTTCTTGTGTGAATTTCACAGTTTGTTGTCTTAGATTTAAGTCTTTAATCCATTTTATTTTTATATATGGTGAGAGATAGCAGTGTAGTTTCATTCTTGTGCATATGGATATCCAGTTTTCCCAGCACCATTGATAGACGAGACTGTCTTTTACCCAGTGTATATTTTTGGTACCTTTGTCAAAAATGAGTTTGCTGTACGTGTGTGGATTTGTTTCTGGGTTCTTTATTCTTTTCCATTGGTATATGTGTCTGTTTAATGCCAGTACCATGTTGTTTTTGGTTACCATAGCTTGGTAGTATAATCTGAAGTCAGATAATGTGATTCCTGTATGTTTTTTGTTTGCTTTTTTTTTTTTTCCTTAGGGTAGCTATGGCTATTCTCACCCTTTTTGTGATTCTAAGCAAATTCTAGGATTTATTTTTTATTTCTGTGAAGAATGTCATTTGTATTTTGATAAGGATTACATTGAATAGGTAGATGCCTTTGGGTAGTATGGTCATTTTAAAAATATTGATTCTTCCAAACCATGGACACGGAATATCATTTCATTTTTTTGGTGCTCTCTTTAATTTTTTTTCATCAGTGTTTTACAGTTTTCATTACAGAAATCTTTCACTTCTTTGTTTAAGCTTATTCCTAGGTATTGAATTTTATGTGTGGTTATTGTTAGTGGAATTGCTTTTTTTAATTTCTTTTTCACATTGTTCCCTCTTGGCATATAGAAATGCTACAGAATGAGATCCTGTCATTTGCAATAGCATGGATGGAACTAGAGGACATTATTTTAAGTGAAATAAGCTAGTCACAGAAAGACAAACTTCACATGTTCTCACTCATTTGTGGGAGCTACAAGTTAAAACAATTGAACTCATAAAGATACGGAATAGAAAGATGATTACCAGAGGCTGGGAAGGGTGGTAGAGAAGGGGGGAAATGGGGATGTTTAATGGGTACAAAAATATAGTTAGATACAATGTGTAAGAAGATCTAGTATTTGATAGCACAATAGAGTGTCCATAGACAGCAATAATTTGTTGCACATTTTAGAATAACCGAGGGGTACAATTGGAATGCTTGTAACACAAAGAAATAATGAATGCTTGAGGTGATGGATATCCCATTTATATGGATGTGATTATTACATATTGTATGCGTGTATAAAAATATATCATGTACCACATAGATACAACTATGTACCCATAAAAATTAATAAAATAAATTTTAAAACACATAAAAAATTGACCGTAGTACTAAATCCGATCTTTCACTTTATTCTGACAACAATCCTTTTACTTATCTCTTGTACATTATAGTGTGTACATAACAATGGTCTATCCTCACTTTCCTTTTTCTGACTGCACTCTCACAATCTCCATGACAATGACCAGGTTTCTGTATTCCTAGTATCTAATGTAGTTCTTAGTCCTGGTAAGGTGTTGATTAATTGTTCAGCAGAACTAATATAAAATAGCATTAGCTTTTGGGAATTCTATTTCTTCTTTGTACCTAGGCTATGGAGCATTGGAGGGGTGTAAAGTTTACTGTGGCAGGAAAACAGCAACCTCCAAAAGCCACACGCTGACTGACAAACCTCTGAACCATCATTTAATTCATTTGCGATTCAGTCTATATCAAAATGTACTGAGCAGATTTCTTATCCTCTTTAATTTTTCCCCACAGTGTCTATAAGACTAAGTTTGAGATTTCTGTCATCACAAATGAGAATAGTAAAAAAAAAACTTCTCTGGAACATGGAGTGTCATCCAGACCAATTAATTATAACCAAAGAAAATCATTTATTTAATAATATTCCTGCTGATCCCACTGAAGGAGCCATTTATTTCCAAATTATGTTGTAAGATTCTTGTATGAATGAGATTATTTAAAAAGAAAATTTAATAATGCTTCCGAAGGCAACATATATCAAGCATCATGCAATTCTAATCATAGCAGTATTGAGGACAGTGAAATTAGTATTTTTTATGTTTCAAAGCAATTGAGAAAGATGTTCATGGGTACTCATACATCTTTATGGTTACAATTGAGTTGAATAGATAAAATATTTTTAATGGAAGATAATAGAATAATAGAGAAAAGTGGAGAATATGTTCAGAATAAAGTTTTTTGTTATTTGGAGTTCTAACAAAGGTAATGATCAATGCATTTCTTCAGTTGTAGGTGTTGGGAAATTGAATCTGAAACGATGAATATTATGCAAACCCCCATTTTCATATTGAACACATTATCAAAATGGCATTTCTTCATATTGAATCTTGAAAACATCAGAATTTGCCTTTATTATACTAACAGTAGATAATTTATAGGAATGAGTTTTATTCAGTTTTGAATAATATTTTATAATATGCTGGGTTTATGGCAGTTAAATCTAGGATGTGGAAACCTTGAACACTTTTTGTGTTGTTTAATAATGAAAATGTGTCATTCCTTAATCCCAATTCGGCTAAATAGTTTCGGAATGTTTATTTTTACTATGAACACTGTGAATTTAAATTGAACCATTCCTAGTGATTATGTCTTTATGAAAATTTTTCAATAAGACAAAATTGTTGCCATGGTTTGAATGTGTCCCCTTCAAAATTCAGATGTTGCTAATATGATTGTATTAAAAGGTGGGGCCTTTAAGAGATGATTAGGCCACTAGGGTTCCTCGCTTGTGAATGGGATTAATGTCCTTATAGAAGAAGTTATGCTGCATTTGGTCACTTGCCCTTCTGCCTTCTGCCATGTGAAGACACAGCCTTCCTCACCATGGGAGGATGCAGCAATAAGGCACCATCTAGAAACCAGAGAGCAACCCTCACCTAACAATTGAACCTGCCTAGCAACTGGATCCTAGACTCCCAACCTCACAAACTGTGAAAAAATCAATTCCTATTGCTTATATATTTACATTGCTTTTAAAGTCTGTAGAACTTTTTCACAGCAGCGCAGACTAAGGCAGAAAGTAATGCCAAGAGAGTAGAGTGTTGCTATAACGGATACCCAAAAATGTGGAAGCTGGGTTGGAGCTGGGTAATGGGTAGAGGCTGGAGGAGTTTTGAAATGAATGCTGGAAAAACATTAGATTGCTGTGAAGGGAGTGTTAAAGCTGATTCTAGTGAGAGCTAACAAGAGAAAAGCTGTAGAGAAAGCCTCATTTTTTTTTTTTTAGAGATAACTTAAGTAGTCATGACAGTGAAGACTATTCTGATGAGGTCTCAGAGGGAAATCAGGAACAAGGTATTGAAAACTGGGGAAAAGGCCATTTCTGTTTGAATTTGGTTGAATTATGCTTGTGTCCTAGGACTTTGTAGAAGGAAAAAATTAAGAATGATAAACTAAGATATTCGGTGGACTAAATCTCTTAAGCAGCAAATCGTTCAGGGAACTGCATGGCATCTCCTAAGTGCTTATAGTAAAATGCAAGGAGTGAGAAATGATTGAAAGACAGAATTTACAATCAAAAGGTAAGCATCACGTAAAGATTTGGAAAATTCTACACCTGGCCATTTGAAGAATAAAAATCATGCTTCTGAGAGGAAACTACGAGTGTAGCTAAGAGACAATTTGCTGAGGAAATTGGTATGGATATAAGTAAGCCAGGTGGTATTCTTCAAGAAATTGGGAGAATAACACTGAAGGTATTTCAGAGATTTTTCAGGCTCCAATGCACATCACAGGCCTTGAGAAAAGAAGGTTTCCAGAGAGAGCCCCAGTGTGCCCATGAGACTTTGGACCTTGCTGCTCAAGGTACTTCTAGTCTCTACTCCCTGAATTCCTGTGCAGTACTTCTCACCCACTTCAGCTGTGACACAGATGGACCCAGGTGTGACACAGGCCACCCTTCCAGAGAGCACAAGCAGTGATCCTTGGCACCACCTAATGTTGTTAATGATATAGGCACACAGAATGCAAGAGCTGTGGGGTCGTGGCTTTCTCTCTTGATTTCCTCCATATTTCTGCAATTTGAGTATGTGTTGCTAGATAATAACTTGCTTTTTGTTGAATAAATTAGTAGAAAGCAGAAATCTACCTGTGTAAGAAAAGGGTAACATTGCCACTTTAAAGAATTAGGTAAGCTGAAGTGTCTGTTTTCAGTTTCCCTGAGAGTTTATAAGACCCCTGCAGAGAAAGTCAGTGTATAAAGTCACTGTGAGCCCTGGAAAGCGTAGGGCTCATCAAGGTCAAGACATCTGGCAGACCCGCAATTTTAACCAGGCCTTGAATGTCTGCCAGAGATATGGTCAGTTTGCGTATTAGTCCATTTTCACACTGCTATAAATACCTTTTCTGAGACTGGGTAATTTATAAAAGAGAGGTTTAACTGACTCACAGTTCCAAGTGGCTGGGGAGGCCTCAGGAAACTTACAATTATGGTGAAAGGGGAAGCAGGCACCTTCTTCACAGGGTGGCAGGAAAAAGAGCATGCAAAGGAGACGCTGTTAAACACTTATAAAACCATCATATCTTGTGAGAACTCACTATCATGAGAACAGCATGGGGGGAAAATGCCCCCGTGATCCAATCACCTCCCACCAGGTCCCTCCCTTGACATGTGGAGATTACAATTTCAGATGAGATTTAGGTGGGACACAGAGCCAAACCATATTATTCCACCCCGACCCCTCCAAAATCTAATATCCTTTTTACATTTCAAGCTAATCATGACTTCCCAAAAGTTCCCCAAAGTCTTAACTCATTTCAGCATTAACTCAAAAGTCCAAGTTCAAAGTTGCATCTGAGACAAGGGAAATCCCTTTCACCTATAAGCCTGTAAAATCAAAAATAAGTTATCCCTCAAAGATACAATGCGAGTACTGGCATTGGATAAATGCTCCCATTCCGAATGGGAGAAATTGGCCCAAACAAAGGGTCTACAGGCCCCATGAAAGTCTTAAATCCAACAGGGCAGTCACTAAATCTTAAAGCTTTGTAATTACCTGCTTTGACTCCATGGTCTCATATCTGGGGCATGCTGATGCAAGGAGTGAGCTCCCACAGCCTTGAGCACCTCTTTCACAGGCCAGCGTTTAGTGCTTGTGGCCTTTCCAGCCTCACAGTGCAAGCTGTTACTGGATCTACCATTCTGGAGTCTGGAGGATGGTGGCCCTCTTCTCAGAGCTCCACTAGACAGTGTGACAGTGGGAACACTGTGTGGGGGCTCCAACCCCACATTTCCCTTTTACATTGCCCTAGCAAAGTTTGTTCATAAGGGCTCTGCCCCTGCAGCCGACTTCTACCTGGATTTCCAGGCGTTTCCTTTCATCTTCCAAAACCTTGGTGGAGGTTCCCAAACTTCAATTCTTGACTTCTGTGCACCTGTAGGCCCAACACCATGTGGAAGCCACCAAGACTTGGGGCTTTCACCTCTGAGGCAATGGCCTGAACTGTACCTTGATGCTTTTTCGCCACAGCTAGAGCTGGAGTGGCTGAGATGCAGGGCAGCAAGTCCCAAGGCTACACACAGCAGCAAGGCCCTGGGCCCATGAAACCATCTTTTCCTCCTAGGCTTCCAGGTCTGTGATGGGAGGGGCTGCTGCCAAGGTCTCTGACATGCTCTGGAGAAATTTTCCCCATTGTCTTGGTGATTAACATTTGGCTCCTTGTTACTTATGCAAATTTCTGCATCCAGGTTGAATTTATCCCTAGAAAATGAGGTTTTCTTTTCTATCACATTGTCAGGCTGCAAATTTTCCAAGCTTTTATCCTATACTTCCCTTTTAAACATAAGTTCTAACATCTCTCTCAAGTTCAAAGTTCCACAGATCTCTAGGGCAGGGGCTAAATGTTGCCAGGGTCTTTGCCAAAGCACAGCAAGAATGACCTTTGCTCCAGTTACCAAGAAGTTCCTCATCTCCATCTGAGACCACCTCAGCCTGGACTTAATTGTCCAGATAATTATCAGCACTTTGGTCCAAACGATTCAAGAAGTCTCTAGGAAGTTCTAAATTTTCCCACATCTTCCTGCCTTCTTTTGAGCCCTGCAAACTGTTCCAACCTCTGCCTGTTACCCAGTTCCAAAGTTACTTACACATTTTCAGGTTACCTTTATAGCAGTGCCCCACTCCCAGTACCAATTTACTGTATTAGTCTGTTTCCCACTGCTATAAAGAGCTTCCCTGAGACTGGGTAATTTATAAAGGAAAGAGGTCTAATTGACTCACATTTCTGCATTGCTGGAGAGGCCTCAGGAAACTTAACAATCATGGTGGAAGGCAAAAGGGAAGCAGGCACCTTCTTCACAAGGCAGCAGGAGAGAGTGTGAGCATTCAGGAAAAACTAGCATTTATAAAACCATCAGATCTCATGAGGATTCAGTCACTGTCATAAGAACAGCACGGGGGGAAAACATCCCCATAGTCTAATGACTTCCCTTCCTCGACATGTGAGGATTACAATTTGAGATGAGATTTAGGTGGGGACACAGAGCCAAACCATAGCAATTTCAAAATGCATTTTCTTCATAATTTATAATTCAGTGCTACATTATCTTCATTCCCATGTTGCTTTTTGAGATTTTTGTTTTGCAAATGTGTGTGCCTATTCAGCATTATATTTGTTGAGACTTTTATACTTTTGCACTCTTGTACAAATTATTTTTGATAAAGAGAATAATTCATATTGTCAATAGACATTCTTTTCATTTCTACCTTAAATTTCTTCTTTATTTTCTATGTGAAGCTTTCGGAAACTGTACTAAGTAAACATTGATTGTCTTCTAAAGCATAATGTTGCCTATGAATTTTCAGAGGGTTCAAGTGTAAGAACAGGTTATGTTGTTCATTACTGAATATTATAAAGTAACCTCTCCCCTTCTTCCTTGAAATAATATTATTCTCCCACCCAAAATGCACATGGATATCCATATGCACACTACCAACAAGCCCAGGCAGCACTGAGGCTTATCCTGGGCAATTGCTTCCAGTATACGAAGGATTAATTTGTTTTCAAGGTAGGCTCATGTTGCCTGTGGTCAGTAAAGGATAGCAGAAAGCTAGGTGGAAATCAAGGACTACTGAATGAGAGACTCAAGCTCATTTCTTGTGGAACAATCTAAGTCGGATTTTATTATGTGTCTTATCACTTGGTTTTTATGTGTCTTATCACAAGAGGTTTTTAACAAAGGCATCAATAAGAATGGTGCAGTGAAACTGCAGACAATTGCCAAGGACTGAATTTTTATATTTTATGTATCTGTGAAACATATTGAGAATATGTAGCTTTTATGGGCCTTTGGGAACTTTTAAACAAGAACATGCATGCAAGAAAAAGTGATTTGACAGACTATTATGAAACTTTACAATGTCACCAAATGAATGAGGCTGAAGTAATAGAGAAAGATGTGGCTGTTTACACATAACTGCAATACTTTATTAGCACTGATGGGGAAAAGTAAGCATATAAAAGTACATATCATGCATAGAAAGTACCTTATTTTTATGACTAGTACTGATGTACACACTTCTATTATCCTCAAGTCTCTTTAAATGGAATCAGGAAGGGAAACTTGTTAGTGGCGTTCTGCCACTTAAGTATATAAAATAAAAACATCTTAGCGATGAGCCAGATATTTGAAATTTCACTCCCTAGTTCAGGCCACTATTACTAAAGCAAAGAAATAATCTTGACCTCAAAATGTCACTGTTGTAAAATGGCATTTTTTTTTTTTTAGCATGAATGAAGCCTCACCGACAAAGCAAAAGGAAAGACTGAAGAAAAGGTTCAGATATTTTATTTTACCCGCATCATAGCTACAAAGTCAAAATAAATTCTGGCCTTCTTGATGGTTAAATAATTGAATTGAATTGAATTTTATGAAACTGCCGTCTTTGCGTCCATAAGTTTCCTTTTTAAAGTCTTTTAGAACATCAATAACTTTAGTTGATCACTCACTATGTTACAATCATTATATGAAACATTTTAAGTGTACTAGCTCTCATAATCATAAAAATAACCCTATCACAGATAAACTATTATTGGTTCTATTCCTATTTATGATCATAAGTGTGTCAAATAAGGTGAATAACTCACACCACAAATTCAAACTGACAGCAAATCCTGTTGGATCTGATTTCAAAACTTTTACAGATTCCCATTTCTCAATTATTGCTACTGCTACCAAAATCACCCATCACTTGGTTAATTATAACAGCTTTTTAACTAGTATTACAACAACATTACCAGTTTTTTTTTTCAGCAAAGTTGCTAAGACCAGAAAGGCTGATTAAATTATATAAGCAATAATGTATTGCAATTCATTTTCAACACTGAAAATTTTCTTTAATATCATTATTCTTAGTATTCTAAACCCAATGTCAGTGTTGGATTGATTAAAAAAAAATCTTATATGTAAGAGTGATGCTGGAGAAACGAGCTTTGCTTTGAGTCCTTCCTTAGGCTTTTGTGTGTGTGTGGGAGGGAGGGCACACTTAGATTGTGGATACAATCATACTTTTAAAAAATAATTGTTTCTTATACACAGATACTCTATCAAAGATTAAAGATGGCATTGTAACAAGTTTGGACCTGGATGTTATTATCATGAAAATAGAGATAACTGAAAATTAGGCTACTGTAAATCAAAGAGATATTGGTGGTAATTATGTTTTGTATATACTCGAAAGTATTGAAAAGACAGTTTTAGCTACTTAGTTATTAAAATACATGTAAAAAATTAAATGCATGTACATTATACTTAAAATTGGAGAAACATAATTCATAATATAAACGTATAACAGAAATGTTAATTGAAATAATGAATACATTTTAAATATTGTCATTTATAGCCAATTGAGGAACACAGAAAGTGAGTCACATACCTAAAATATACAATTAAACATTTTCCACAGAAAACAGAAATTGTGAATGCAGCAACCTATTTAAAGAAACTTGTACTACTGAAGTAGGAAACTAATTCTTCTATGTTGCTTACGTTCTTCATAATTTATTTGGATTTCCTTCAACATGCAATGATTAATAACAGGTTGTTGTCAAACTTTTCCAAATTTCTGATCCTGATTATTCTAACTTGCATGACTACTCTTGTCTGCCAAGAAATATTTTGCCATTAAATTCTGTGTAAGCAAAGATATTTGGGACTTGAACTCTGCACTGCGTTAAATAAACATAGATATCTACAGAACTCTCCACCCAAAACGTTAGAATATACATTCTTCTCATCATATGATCATTTCAATTGATAGCATGTGATATAATTCAACATACATTCATGATAAAGACCCTCAAAAACTGATTATAGAAGAAACACACATCATCATAATAAAAGACATACATCATAGACCCACAGCTAATATCATACTGAATGAGGAAAAACTGAAACCTTTTTCTCTAAGATTTGGAACATGACAAGGATGCCCACCATCACCAGTGTTATTCAACATTTTACAGAAAGTCCTAGCTAGAGCAATCAGACAAAATAAATAAAGGGCATCCAAATCTATATTGTTGAAATGTTCATACTACCCCCAGTAATCTACAGATTCAATGCAATCCTTATTAAAATACGTATGACATTCTTCACAGAAATATTAAAAAATCCTAACATTTATATGGAATTACAGCAGACCCAAAATAACCAAAGCTATTCTGGGAATAATAAACAAAAATGAAAACAAATAAACTGTCAGAATCACATTACTTGATTTCAAATTATACTACAGAACTATTGTAAACACAACAACACGGTATGGTACTATAGGCCAATGGAACAGAACAGACAACCCTGAAACAAATTCATATGCCTGCAGAGAACTAATTTGCAACAAATATGCCAAAGACATATACTGGGAAATAGGCAATTTCTTCAATAAATGCTGTTGGGAAAACTGTATATCCACATGCAGAAGAAATGAAACTAGACTCACACCTCTCACCATATACAAAAATCAAAACAAAATGTATTAAAGGCTTAAATATAAGACTTAAAACCATGAAACTACTGCACGAAAACATTGGGGAAAATCTCCAGGACATTGGTCTGGGCAAAAATTTCTTGACTGATATCCCAGACGAACAGGCAACTAAAGCAAAAATGAACAAGTAGAATCACATCAAGTTAAAAAACTTCTCCACAGCAAAGGGAACTATCAGCTAGTGATGAGACAATCCACAGAACTGGAGAAAATATTTACAAAGTACCCATCAAACAAAGGAGTAATAACCAAGATCTATAACAAGCTCAAACCACTCTATAAAAAATCTAATAATCTGATGAAAAATGGGCAAAAGATGTTCATAGACATTTCTCAAAAGAAGACATTCCTGTGGCAAACAGGCATATGAAAAGGTGCTTAAATTCATGGATCATCAGAGAAATGTAAACTAAATTACAACGAGATGTCACCCTAGCCCAGTTAAAATGGCTTATATGCAAAGGACAGGGCCAAGCGCAGTGGCTCACGCCTGTAATCCCAGCACTTTGGGAGTCTGAGATGGGTGGATCACCTGAGGTCAGGAGTTCGAGACCAGCCTGGCCAACATGGTGAAACCCCATCTCTACTAAACATACACAATTTAGCTGGGCATGGTGGTGGGCACCTGTAATCCCAGATACTTGGGAGGCTGAGGAAAGAGAATCGCTTGAACCCAGGAGGTGGTGGTTGCAGAGAGCCGAGACCATGCCATTGCACTCCAGCCTGGGCAACAAAAGCGAAAGTCTGTCTCAAAAAAAAAAAAAAAAAAAAAAAGACAGGCAGTAACAGTACTGGAGAGGATGTGGAGAAAAGGGCACTCTCATATACTATTGGTGAAAAATGTAAATTACTACAACCACTATGGATAATAGTTTGGAGGTTCTTCAAAAAACTAAACATAGAGCTACCGTATGATCCAGCAATCCCATTGCTGGGTATATACTCAAAAGGATGGAAATTAATATATTGAAAAGATATCAGTACTCCCATGTTTGTTGCAACACTGCTCACAATAGGCAAGATTTGATAGCAATCTGGGTGCCCAAAAATAAACGAATGGATAAAGAGAATTTGATGCATATACACAATGGAGTACCATGCAGCCATTCAAAAGATTGAGATTCTGTTATTTTTCAACATGGAGAGAACTGCAAGTCATTATGTTAAGTGAAATAAGCCAGGGACAGAAAGATAAGCATCATATGTTCTCACTTATTTCTGAGAGCTAAAGATCAAAACCATTTACGTCATGGAGATAGAGAGCAGAAGGGTGGTTACCAGAGGTTGGAAGGGTTTTGAGGGGCTAGCATGGAAGCGGAGGTGGTTAGTGGGTACAAAATAAAAATAATTAGAAAGAATAAGACCTACCATATGATAGCAGAACAAGGTAACTATAGTGAATAATTATTTAGGTGTACAGTTTTAAATAACTAAGATAGTACAATTAAATTATTTACAACACAAGGGATAAATGATTGAGGAAATGGATACCCCATTTTCCTTAATGTAATTATTATGCATTGCTTGCCTGTTTCAGAGTATCTTGTGTACCCCATTAATATGTGCACATACTATGTACTTATAAAAATTAAAAGTTAAAAAATCAAAATTTTTGAAATAAAAAAGCATAAAAATTACATTCATAAAACAAAATTACAGAATTTTGATAAAAATACTGATAAAAATTTGCCTAAAATTTGCTTAAATTATGTTGCTAAACAACAAAGTCTTACAGACTGGAATGGGACTAAATATAATATCCCTATCAAGTAATCCAACATTATAAAGAACATTCAAACCTCCTAACTTGAGTGCTATCACCTACAGCTGGCTCATTGTTCTCTACACTAAAACATTTTTTTAGTAAAAAATGAAAAAAGGAGCAGGACAAGGTATCCAACTAAACATAGCCAGGAAGTGCTGTTCCCACTGAGACAAAAATTTCAAATAAACCAATATAATTTCCATAAATCACTGGAAAGAAAATACTGAGAGTGGGTAGAGACATGATGCAGACACTGAGGCTAAAGAGTAAGAAAGAGTAATCACATAACCCTGTGTTGAGTATTTGAATGCTAGGGCTACTTCCCAGCCCCAAACAGCTCCTGGGAAAGGTGTGAGTGAAGGAACTGTGGGACTGCCCACTCTCCTCATGGACCTTTGGGTTCCTAGCTACAGGGGACCCCACATCCTCCATGGACATTTGAGCTGGCAGGAGGACTGCCTAGGGAGTAGGCAGAGAGAGGGCTTCATCTAGTGTGCAGCCAGGGGCTTTTGTGCCTGAGGCAACTCTCGCAGAGCACAGCCATTGACACGCGTCCCCCGGGACTCCACATCTTCCTCTCAGAAGCTGTAGCTGCAGCTAACCATCAGGCCAGGAGAAACCAGAGTGAACTTCCCAGAGGGCCTGGGGCATGTCTGTTTTGCAAACAGTCCTGTACACCAGCCTCTACCAGGGCCTCTTCTTAGATACACTGCAGAAGTATTTGCACAGTGCAGCCTCCACTGCCCAGCTTGGGGGCTTTGTTCCACTCAATTTCACTGGGAGCACCTTGGATCTCCCAGCACACCCAGAACTTGACTCTGAGTTTCAGGACTACCCAGCCAAGACTGGTGGCCAGCATTTAAGCAGGGGAGGAGCCCACATTCCCTGAGCACTGAAAGGGGTGAGGCATGTGGGTTTGTGGGCTGATGTGGGAACGAGGCATGTCTCCCTCCTCAGGGTCAGCCCAGAAAGGCTGTGGCCTATCTCCCTACTGAGTCTTCTTCCTGAGGATTAACTGTGGCTCAGGATACTTAACAAAAGATATAAAAGCACAGTGCTCATGATGGAAGGGGGCTCTCCTGAGACCCAGGAGTGAACGTGGTGAGCCAGTCACCTCTCTCCTTACCACAGCATGGAGCACGGCTATAAATGCAAGGAAATACAAAGGAGACAGAGCTGAGTAAGAGGCTACCCACTGGCCTCTACTCTTAAGCACAATCTACTGGATTGCAGCCCAAACTAAAACACCAAAAAATAAAGACCCTGCACAGAGCCTTAGCCCTCTGAAAAAATCCAGAAATAAAGCCAACTTACTATACTAAACTTACATCACAGTTAAAGGAACACCAACCCTTAAAGATGAGAAAGAATCAGCACAAGAACTCTGGCAATGTAAAAGCCAAAGTGTCCTCTTATCTCGAAAGAAGTCCACTAGCTTCCCAGCAATGTTTCTTAACCAGTCTGAAGTGATTGAAATGACAGACATAGAATTCAGTCTAGATGGCAAGAAAGCTCATTAAGATTCAGCAGAAATTTGAACCTCAAACCAAGGAATCGAAAGAATCCAGAAAAAGAATCCAAGAGCTGAAAGACAAAATGGCCATTTTAAGAAAAAAATCAAACTGAAATTCTGGAGCTGAAAAATTCACTGCAATAATTATATAATAAAATCAGAAGTATTAACAGCATAATAGACAAAGCTGAAAAAAGAATCTCAGAGCTCAAAATAGATTCTTTGAATCAACTCAGACAAAAATAAAGCAAAAAAATTTTTTTCAGTGATGAAATTCTGTAAACAAATATGCATATTGTAAGTTCCAAAGCAGCCACAAGAAGTATTTCTAAAGTAATTATAAAGAGTGGTATAAAGAATAACCAGGTGCATGCCACAACGCCTGCCTAAATTTTGTATATTTGGTAGAGACAAGGGTCTGAATTCTTAAAAATCTCAAAATTCATCCATGAGGGTTGGAATTATCTTCTTCCAAACTCCTGTTAATATTGATATTTTGACTCCTCCTATGAATCTCACGTTCTTAATGGCACCTAGAATGGTGAATCCTTTCCAGAGGCTTTCACTTGACTTTGTCCAGATACATCAGAGGAATCACTATCTATGTCAGCTATAGCCTTATGAAATGTCTGTTTTGTTTTTGTTTTTTGTTTTTTGTTTTTTTTTTTGAGACAGGGTCTTGCTCTGTCACACAGGCTGAGTGCAGTGGTGTGATTTTGGCTCACTGCAACCTCTGGTTCTAGGGCTAAAGTGATCCTCCCCCCTTCAGCCTCTTGAGTAGTTGAGACCACAGGACTGGTTAATTTTTCTGTTTTTTATAGAGATGGGGATTTGCCATGTTGCACAGGCTGGCTTCGAACTCCTGAGCTCAAGCAATCTGTCTGCCTCAGCCTCCCAAAGTGTTGGGATTATAGGTGTGAGCCACCACACTTGGCCCAAAATGTACCTCTTAAATAATATGTATTGAATGTTGAAATTACTCCTTGATTCATGGGCCACATTGTTTTTGTACATCTTCATCAGAGTTCTTGGATGACTAGGTGCATTGTCAATAAGCAGTAATATTTTAAAAGGAATCTTTTTTTCTGAGCAGTAGATCTCAAGAGTAGGCTTAAAATATTCAGTAAACCATGCTGTAAACAGATGTGCTCTCATTCGGGCTTTGCTCTTCTATTTATAGAGCACAGGCAGCGTCACAATTCAGCATAATTCTTAAGGGCCCTAGGATTTTTGGAATGGTAAATGAGCACTGGCTTCTACTGAAAGTCACCAGCTGTGCTAGCCTCTAACAAAAGGGTCAGCCTGCCCTTTGCTCATTTGAAGCCAAGCATTGAAGTCTTCTCTCTAATTATAAAAGACCTAGATGGCATGTTCTTCCTAAAGAATACTATTTTGTCTACATTGAGAATCTGTTTTTTGGTGTAGTCACCCTTATCATTTATCTTAGCTGTTTCTTCTGGATAACTTACTGTAGCTTGCTTCATCAAAGAAGAGAGAACAGAAAGACAAGGCACCTCCCTGCAACTTATTTTGTAGGGGCACTAATACTATTCATAAGGGCTCAGCTTTTATGACTTAATAACCTCTTAAGGGCCCTACCTCCTAATCCTATCATATTGGTAATTAACTTTCAATATACAAATTTTGTGAAGACACATTCAGACCATAGCAAGACCCTTATGTTCCCAGACTCAAGTCTTTAGGTGAAGCTAAATGTCTTCTCTTTTTTGCTAAATATATTTCTTTCATATGATTGAGTTTCTTCTCCTGAAATTATTTCCCTAGATCTGTCCTTTAAGTTTCCTATTTTTCTTTTAGTGATTTATTTGTGTGTTTTTGTTCTATTTTGAGACTTTCCTTGATTTTTTAGTCCACTAATTAACTTCAGTCTTCAATATTTATCTTCTTTTCAATTCACCAATTGAAATTTTAAATTCAAAATCATGTTCCAAAGAAACATTTGATATATTCTAATTACATCCTTTAAGAGTTCACTTCTCTCTCTTCCATTAATCTGTTTAAATGGGGATCATCTGTATTATGGTTATATGGCATTTCTTCTCTCATATTACTGAGAACCTATAAGTAAGTTATATTTTTCATTATTTAAGCATTGTTTTGTGTTTCCCACAGCATCCATAAAAGTAAGAGCTTTTTGTGTGTTTTTTATTTATTTATTTATTTATTTATTATTTATTTAGAAATGGAAAACCATCTAGTGGTAGAAGGCAGTGGTTTTATGAGTCACCATTGCATGAATAGGCAAATTATTAGATAACCTGCTAAGAAGTGGGGATGAAACATTGCTACTGTTCTTTTCCCAGGTTTCTTGGAGATATAAACCAAGATCTAGAAGTTAAAAAGAAAAGGATCATTTGAGCACATTCCTTAAAATAATTTTCTTTTCAATATGTATGATGGGCTGTAAGTTGATGCAATCTTTTTTAAAACTCTTAAGAATTTTAGATAAAAACACTGTGAAGGCAGGATGGTGGAATTCAAAAAGGAGATAGTTAAAGTATTATATTCAAACCGCAAAAGACCAAGGAAATATACTAATAAAGTTTTTTGAAAGAAGTCAGGTAGAGGGGGAACACTACATAATAAAGTAAAACTGATAAGAATACTAACCAATTTCCACATAAGAGCATTTTCACTGAAATCATAATTACCTATACTGAATCTATTTGTAAATTCCACTAATAGGACAACTCTTGTTAAAGAAGAGACAGTATATAAAAAGAAAAAAAATCCAAACGGATTTAATAATGGCAATGTTATTGTCATTTATATCATGTTTTCAAGGTTTTAAGGGTTTCCAACTGTAAATTTTACAACAAATACAAAACTGAGAGGGAAAAATGAACCTAGAAGATAATAAAAATGGGTTTCTATGTCCATTCTATTTATCCAGCTAAGATTTAGTTTGGCTTTCTAGGACATGTTAAGTCAAAACATATTTAACACTTGATTTTGCTAATTACTATTATTATTATTATTATTATTTTGAGACGGAGTTTCACTCCTGTTGCCCAGGCCAGAATGCAATGGTGCGATCTCGGCTCACCGCAACCTCCGCCTCCCGGGTTCAAGAGATTCTCCTGCCTCACCTTCTGGAGTAGCTGGGATTACAGGCATGCGCCACCATGCCCAGCTAATTTTGTATTTTTAGTAGAGATGGGGTTTCTCCACGTTGGTCAGACTGTTCTCAAACTCCCAATCTCAGGTGATCCACCGGCCTCAGCCTCCTAAATTGCTGGGATTACAGGCGTGAGCCACCATGCCTGGCCCAATTTTGCTGATTAATTCTAAGTTTCAAACCATACCTATAGCAAAAATCACTCACGGGGCAACATTAACATTTAGAAAAAAATTCAAGGAAAGTAATATACTTCATGTCAATTGTAATTCAATGATCTTGTTTTTTGTTGTTGAAAAAGTCCTCAGTAAAGCATGAATCACAGCCATGAACTAGCCTGACAAATTTTAATCAAGTTCTCTAGTTTTGACCTCTGTGGGAATGAACTTCATGAGGATGATGCCAAGATTCCAGAGAAGTCATGCCAGATCATTGCCAAAGTGCATTTTTGGAATAATTAATATCCTGTTGAACAAAGTATCAAAGTCAAGTCAATTTAATAGAGAAATAATAATTTTTTAAGCAAAGGGTTCTGGAACAACTGGATGTCCACATAAAGAAAGAAAACCTATACACACAGCTCACGGTTTTCACAAAGATAACTCAAACTGAATTATAAATGTAAATGTAAAATTCAAAAGTATAACCGTTCTAGTAGAAAACAGAGGAGAAATCTGGATGGCCTTGAGCTTAGCAATGAGTTTTTAAGATATAACACAAAAACACAATCCATAAATGAAAAAAATTGATGTTTAGCTTCATCAAAATTAAAAAAATAAAACTTTCAAGCCCCAAACTGGAATAAGATGTTTACAAAACAAATATCTGAAAAAAGACTTGTATGCAAAACACACAAAAAAACTCTTAAAATTTAGAAACAAGAAAATAAACCTAATTAAGAAAAGGGTAAATGACCTGAACAGACAGCTTATCAAAAAATATATATAGATGTACACAGATGGTAAATAAGCATATTAAGATACTCAACATTATATGTCACTATGAAATTGCAAAACAAAACAAGTTACCACTAACCATTATTAGAAGCGTTAAAATAAAAACCTGAACAATAACAGTTGCTGGTGAGGATGTGAAGCAACCAGAACTCTCATTCATTATGGAGAGAATGCAAACTAGTACAACCATTCTGACCACAACTTTTAGGTTCTTACAAAGCTAATCATAGTTTATCAGGCAAAAGAGCAATTGTGATTTTAGGTATTTACCCAACTAATTTGAAAACTTATGCTTATACAAACATTTGTATATGAATGTTTATAGTACCTTTATTCATAATGGCAAAAAATTTGAAGCAACCAAGATGTCCTTTAATAAGAGAATGGATAAACCAACTATGGTACATCCATACAATGGAAAGTTATTCAGTGATACAAAGAAAATAGCTTTGAAACAAAAAAGACATGGATGGATCTCAAAGGCATAGTGCTAAGTGAAAGAAACATGACTGAAAAGGCAACATGCTTTGTTATTCCAATTATATAACATTTTAGAAAAGGTAAAAATACAAAGACTATAAAAAAGATCAGGATTTTTCAAGGATTTAGAGGGTGTTTAAATGTTGAGTAGGTGAAGCAAAAGAGATTTTGTTAGGGCAAAGGAACTATTCTGTATGATATTGTAGTAGTGAATTCATGACACACATTCTTGTCAAAACTCATAGAATGTTACAGCACAAAGACTAAACTTTAATGTCTGCACATTTTTTAAAAGTCAGGATTTCTGGCCCAGCATGTAAGGCACTTCAAAGTCATTACTTCCATCCACAATACATGAAAAAAAGGTGAACAAATTGGAAACCAACAGAAAGGGTAACATACGCATAATGTGAATATCACAAGGAAAAAAAGGAAAGAAAGAGAAGAAATATTTAAATATTTGAAGCAATAATGACTGAGAATTTTACAAAATTATTGACAGACACCAAGCCACAGAGTCAGTAAGCTCAGATAATACCAGGCAAAATAAATGCCAAAAAATTATACAGTTAGGCGTATTATATTCAAACCGCAAAAGACCAAGGAAATATACTAATAAAGTTTTTTGAAAGAAGTCAGGTAGAGGGGGAACACTACATAATAAAGTAAAAATGATAAGAATTATATCAGACTTCTCTTCAGAAACCACCGAAGCAATAAGAGGGAAGAGGGAAACATTTAAAGTCATGAAAGAAAAACCCGATTAACCTAGCATTCTGTATCCAGTGAACCTTTGACAACGAAAATGAAACGAAGACTTTATCAAACAAAAGCAGGGGATTTGCCACTAGTAGACCTGACTTGGAAGAAATATCAAAAGAAGTTCTTCAGAGAGAAGGGAAATAATAGCGGTCAGAAACTCAGATGCACATAAAGAAAGGTAGAGCATTAGATGAAGAATAAATGGAGATAAAACTTTTCATTTTTTTGTCTTACTGATCTAATAGATGACAGTATATTCAACATAATAGCAAGAATATATTGGGTAATTTTGCCATATGGTTGAGAGTAATTAATGACAGTAATGTTACAAAAGACAGAAGGATGAAATTCATAATATTCTGTCATAAGGTACTCACACTACACTTGAAGCAGTATACAGTTATTTGAAAGTGGACTTTGATTTGTATAATGCAAACTACGGCAACCTCTTAAAAAGTTTTTTAAAAGTATACTTTATATGTTAAAATGTGAGAAAAAATAGAATCATATGAAATACTCAAAACCAGAAAAGGCAAAGAAATGGAAGACAACAAGGAAAAAAAGAATAAGAGGAACAAATAGAAAACAGATACAAAAATGGTTGATATTAATCCAGCAATATCTATAATCTCTTTAAATTTAATCTTACCATATGATTCAACATTCATACTTCTTGTTATTTACCCAAATATGATTAAAACTTATCTTCACACAAAAACCAGCACTTGGATGTTTATAGCAGTTTTATTCAGTTGTCAAAATTGAAAACAATCAAGATGTCCTTCAATAAGTGAAATAATAAATAAACTGGTACCGTCCATGCAATAAAATATTATTCAGCACAAAAAATAAACAGGTTATCAAGCCATAAGAAGACATGGAGATATTATAAACACATATTACTAAGTAAAAGAACCCAATCTGAAAAGACTATGTACTGGATGATTCCAATAATTTGACATTCTGGAAAGAGGAAAACTATGAAGACTGTAAAAATAGCAATGGGTTCCAGGCTTGTAGGGAAAGGAAGGGAAGAATAGGTGGGGAACAAGGGATTTTTAGGGCAGTGAAACTATTCTGAATAATACTGTAATGCTAAATACATGACATCATTTATTTGTAAAAATCTTAGGACTGTTCAACACCAAGAGCAAACCTTAATGGGGACTTTGTGAACTTTGAGTTATAATCATGTGTCAATGTCGGTTCATCAACTGTGACAAGTGCATTTCACTAATGTAAAATGTTAATAATAGGGGAAATGTGTATAGAGTGAGAGAGGGAGTATTGGAACTTTTTATTGATGTAAAAAGAGAAAAAACAATGAGATCGTAGTGAAAGCAATGCAGATGATAAATTTACAGTACTAAATGCATGCATTAAAAAAATAATTAAAATCTCAAATCATTAATGTAAGCTCCCCCCACCCTCCCCCGCAAAAAAACTTAAAAAAGAAGAACAAAATAAACCTAAAGCAAACATAAGGAAGGTAAAGATTACAGTGGAAATCAATAAAATTGAAACAAAAATTGCAGTGAAAATCAATGAAACTAAGAACTGGTCTTTGAAAACTGCAATACAGTGGACAAATTTCTAGCAAGAATGAGAAAGAAAGAAAAAAGGAAGACATAAATTGCCAATGTAAAAAATGGAATAGGGAATAGCACTATAGACTCTAAAGACATCTAAAATATATGAGGGAATCCTACATATAATTCCATATACACACAATTAACAACTTAGAAAAACTGCACACCATCCTCAAAAAAAAATGCAAACTATCCAAACTCACTGATATAAAATAGATCATTTAAATTGTTCTAAAACTATTAAGGGAATTAAATTTAAAATTCAAAAAAATCCAAAATGAAATATCTCTAAGTTCAGATATTTTTGTTTGAGAATTCTAACAAACATTTAAAAGAAACTGACGTCAATTCTACATAATATGTTGCAAAGAAGAGAAGACAGAACATGTTCTAATTCATTTTATGAAAGTATTATTACTCTGATATAAAAGCAAGCTAAAGACTGCACCAAAAAAATTACATACCAATATATTTCATGGTTATAGATGGAAAAATCCTTAGCAAAATACTAGCAAAATAAAAATGATAATTATTCACCATGCCATGTGGGATTTGTTCCAGGCATTCAAGGATGAATCAATATTTGAAAATCAGTCAATGTAATCCACCATATTAGCAGTCTAGTAAAAAGAAAATCACTGGATCATATTATTTGATGTGGAAAACTTATTTGGCACAGTTTAATATTTTTAATAAAACATTCAGAAATATCGAAATACATGGGAACTTCTCCAACATGATAAGGGACATCTATGAAAAACATGCAGCTAACATTAAACTTCATAGTGAAAGACCTGATACTTTCCCCACTAAGACTGGAAACAAGGCAAGGACATTCACTCCCAGTATTTTTAGTTAAACAGTACTAGGAGTTCCAGTTACTACAATAAGGCAATAAAACATATAAATCAGAAAGGAAGATTTTAAGACATAATATAGCTACAGTAATCAAGAGTGTGTGGTTATCTGTGGAGAAATGAGCACATAGATCAATGGAAAATAATTAAGAACTCAAAAATACATGTACACAAATATGTCCAACTAATTTTTTAAAGGTATAAAAGTAATTCATTGGAGGGAAATATAGCCTTTCAACAAATAGTGTTGAAATAATTGGACACCCACAGGCAAATAAAAGAAAAACAATCTAGGCCTAAGTCTTAGGCCTTCAACAAAATTAATTCAAACTGAATAACAGGCTTAAATGCAACAACTTTTAGAAGAAACAGGAGAAAATCTTTGGTACCTAGGATTAGCCAGAATGTTTTTAGATTTGACACCAAAATTATAATTTATAAAATTTTTAAAAATGATAAATTTGACTTTGTCAAAATCTAAAAATTGTGCTCTGAGAAAGACCTGTCAAAAGACTAAATGTATAAGCTATATATAAAGCTATATATAAGCTGTATAAAGAACTTCAAAATTCAACACTAGGAAAAAAGGAGCAGAAACACTTAGAACAAAGGCAAAAGATATGTGGAAATATTTCACAGAAGAAGATATATAAATGGCATATAAGCACATGTAAAGGTGTTTGATATAATTATAAGGAAAATTCAAATGAAAACCATAAAATAAGATACATACTGCACCTTTATCAGAATGGCTAGAATAAAAAATAGTGACAACTCCCTTTTTTTTTTTTTTTTTTTTTGAGACGGAGTCTCGCTCTGTCTCCCAGGCTGGAGTGCAGTGGCGCGATCTCGGCTCACTGCAAGCTCTGCCTCCCAGGTTCACGCCATTCTCCTGCCTCAGCCTCCAGAGTAGCTGGGACTACAGGCGCCCGCCGCCATGCCCGGCTAATATTTTGTATTTTTAGTAGAGACGGGTTTTCACCGTGTTAGCCAGGATGGTCTCCATCTCCTGACCTTGTGATCCGCCCGCCTCGGCCTCCCAAAGTGCTGGAATTACAGGCGTGAGCCACCACGCCCGGCCCAGTGACAACTCTCTTATCAACAACACCAAATATTGGCATGGATCTTGGGAAACATATATTGCTGGTGGAAATGTAAAATGGTATGACCACTCTGGAAAACAGTTTGTCAGGTTTTTAAAAAAAACAAAACAAAACAAAAAAAACAACTAAAGATATACAAATCATACAACTCAGTAATGTACTCTTGAGCACTTATCACAGAGTAATGAATTCATGTTCACTGAAAAAGCTCTACATAAATGTTTATAACAGATACATTCATGATAGTCAAAAACTGGAAACAACCCAGATTTCCCTTAATAGGTGAATATTTAAATATACACTATACCATTGAGCACTACTCAGCAGGAAAGAAAAGGAAGGAAGGAAGGAAGGAAGGAAGGAAGGAAGGAAGGAAGGAAGGAAGAAAGGAAGGGAGGGAGGGAGGGAAAGAAAGAAGAGAGAGAAAGAAGAAAGAAAAAAGAAAGAAAAAGGAAAGGAAAGGAAAGGAGAAAGGAAAAGAGAAAGGAAAGGAAAGGGGAAAAGAAAAGAAAAGAAAGAAAAACTACTGATATCTAGATAAATATTCTGGGTGAAAAAATGCCAATGCCAATAACAAAAGTTTTTATACTGTATGATTTCATTTATATAACATTCTTCAAATGAGAAAATTATATACAAGAAGAACTGATAAGTGGTTACCAGGGTTTAATAAGGAAGTGAGGGCAAGATGGAAGTAGATGTTTCTACGAAGGATGATGAAAGTGTTCTGCTTCCTGACTTTATCAATATCACTATTCTAGTTGTGATATTATACTATAATTTTGCAAGATGTTACTATTGTGGAAACTTAGGTAAAGTGTACGTGAAATATTTCATTATTATTTCTTACTGCTTGTGTAAATCTACAGTTATCTCAAATAAAAAGTCAAATTTAAAAAATCCAATTTTTAAAGATACCATTTAATTTAACCCAACATATCTAACATATTTTTATTTCAAGATGTAATCAATAGAAAATATTTATGACAAGCTTTACATTTTTTGCACTAAGTCTCCAAACTCTGGTATATATATTACACCTATAGCATAACTCAAATTGGGTGCCCATTTTCCTCAGGAATGCTTGATCTTCATTTAGATTTTGTACAATTTACCATTGAAAAATTAGATTTATATGTTCAAATTATCTCAGACATACTTAAATATTGTCTAATAATTAAAACAGGCACCAAAAACCATTTTCCTTTAATATTGATATCCACATTGCCAAACAGGCTCACAGTTTCTGGGATGTCAATTAAAATTAATACCCTCCACATTTGATTCATAATGGGAAAATGTGTGATTCCATTATTGCTGATATACATTATGAAAAGCTTCAATTTTCATATAAATTTTTGCACCTTTCTAGCTAGGTCTGAAGCTTTTTCTTTTTTGAAGCTTCAGTTTTAGCTCATCAAGATATGGCATATCAGTGAGGAAATGTAAAACACAAAATTATTAAATATTTGGCAAGTATTCTTTTTTGTTTTAAGAAAATCTTGAATGAAAGTTAATGGTACAGTAAATCTTTGAAAAATGCATCCAAAACTCAACAAATGAGCAATGGCAAAGACCATAAGATTGTTAAATTTTCTGTCTTTTATTCTTCTATTTGAAGTAACGAGGTGGAAACATTAGTCTCGTTTTAAAATATCAATAAATCTAGATGTTTTATTTAACATTGTTGAAATAGCATATATTATAAGCTAATTTTCTTAGCTAGCTGAAATTCTTCTTTGACAAGTGTAAAGATTCAAAACATAAGTTTGATTTTTTTAGGATGCAAATTGATATTTCCTCTTAATTTGTATGTACTTTGCCACAAAATATATTCAAAATGTTAACTGGGCAGTGTCTCTTCAAAAAGTTTATGAACAATGATGTATATTATGAAAAAACTATGCATGGATTTCAAATTTTTTGCAACAAAATAAACCTGTTCTAACTTGTTTCATGTCTGACAAGGATCCAGTTTGAGGTACCAAGAAGTGTAAGATATTAGCTCGAAAAGAGGTATCAAAGCAACATGAATTTTGCTAAAATTCAAGCAAGAACAAACATCAAACTTATGTTGAAGCTTAGGGAAAAGAATGGTAAAATTATTGATGTTTTATGAAAAGTTTATGTGGCAATAGCTCAAAAAATTCGCAGTTTACAAATGGATAATTTGTTTAAAGATGGGGCAAGGCATTGTTGAAGATGAAGCCCACAGCAGCAGACCCTCCACAAAAGTTTGCTAGGAAAAGTTAATCTTGCTCATGCTCTGAGTAGGACTGACGATTAACAGCAGAAACAATACCCAACACCGTAGCATCTCAGTTGGTTCAGCTTATGCAATTCTGACTGAAAAATCAAAGTTGAACAAACTTTCCACTCAGTAGGTGCCAAAACCATCACACTCAAATCAGTTGCAAACAAGAGTGGAGTTTTCAGTGGAGATTTTAAACAAGTGGGATCAAGATTCTGAAGCATTTCTTCAAAGAATTGTAAAAAAGATGAAATATGGCTTTACCAGTACAATCATGAAGACAAAGCAGACCCAAAGCGATGGCTACTAAGTGGTAGAAGTGTTGTAGGCAAAGCGAAACAAGTCAAGAGCAAAGGTCATGGCAAAAGTTTTTTGGGGATGGTCAAGCAATTTTGCTTGAATACTTTTTGGAAGGCCAAAGAATGACAACATCTATATATTATGAAAGGGTTTTGAGAAACTTAGCTAAACTTAGCTAAAGCTTTGCAGAAAATCACCCTGGAAAGCTTCACCAGAGAGTCCTTCTCGACCACAGTGCTCCTACTCATTCCTGTCACCAAACAAGAACTGTTTTTTGTTTTGTTTTGTTTTTTTCCCAGTTTAAAGGAACAGGGTCTTGCTATGTTGCTCAGGGTAGTATCGAGCTGCTGGGCTCAAGTAATCATCCTACCTCAGCCTCCCAAAATACTTGGATTATAGGCATGAGCCACCATGCTTGGCCCAAACAAGGACAATTTTGCAAGAGTTTTGATGGGAAATCATTAGGCATCCACCTTAACATCCTGATTTGGATCCTTCTGACTTCATTTTGTTTCCTAATCTTAATATATCTTTAAATGGTACTCATTTCTCATCAGTTAATATTATAAGCAAGATTGTATTGGCATGGTTAAATTTCCAGGACTTCAGTTCTTTAGGAATGGACTAGATGGCTAGAATTATTGCTTTCAAAAGTGTCTTGATGGGCGCGGTGGCTCATGCCTGTAATCCCAGCATTTTGGAAGGACGAGGCGGGTGGATCACCTGAGGTCAGGAGTTCAAGACCAGCCTCATCCAACATGGTGAAACTCTATCTCTACTAAAAATACAAAAATAAGCCCAGCGTGGTGGTGGGCACCTGTAATCCCAGCTACTGGGGAGGTTGAGACTAAAGAATCGCTTGAACCTGGGAGGTGGAGGTTGCAGTGAGCAGACATCACGCCACTGCACTCCAGGCTGGATGACAGAGGGAGACTCCATCTCAAAAAAACAAACAAACAAACAAAAAAACAGTGTCTTGAACTTGTTGAACGTGATGGAGCTTATGTTGAGAAATAGAGTTTACATTTTTATCTTTTAATTCCATTATTCCACAAACTTTTTGAATTCCATGTATCACATAAAATGCTGACATATGAGTTGAGATTTGGCTCACTAGGTCTTTTGGACTACTATGTGGACTCCATTACTAGAAGCATACAGTAAAACAGGAAATCCATTGTCATGATGCACTGTACCCTGTACTGACAGAAAATTTATTCCAAGAGCCCTCTAATGATTACAGTTACCCAAAAAATGGAATGCACTACATGGATAGGTTATGAAGTTTTCCATAGTTGAAGTTTTCAGTGGCAGTCAGAGTTTTTGCTTGGTAAGAATCATATTTTTTTTTTGATTGGTAAATAATTTTCAGTAGCAAACCTAAAACCAGTAATAGATCCCCCCTTTCTACTCTACCACAATACTTACTAGTTACGGACTATGAATCTATAGTATCAGGAAAAATATTTTCTCCATCTTTTACCTTGTGGTTGTCACAAAGTACTTATTTCTAAACATCAACCTGAGAACTAAGCTCTGATGTTTTTTATCTTGCCTAAATTCCTATCTGAGAGGTCTGGAGAGCCATGCACTACAAACCATAAATTCTCATCAGATGGGTTTTATTTAACCCTATATATCATGACTTACTTTCCAATCTGACTCTAGCATAACATTGTTACCGGGGGGTTCCTTGCTCACAGAGCTCCCAAGATGGTGGCGAGCCACTTCCAAGATGATGGCGGGCTGCTTCCAAGATGGTGGCAAGCCTCATGTTCTCTGACCTGGGGTTCTTGGCCTCACGGATTCCAAGGAATGGAATCTTGGGCCATGCGGTGAGTGTTATAGCTCTATTAGAAGCCGTGGGTCACGGAAGAGAACTGTTGAACCCAGTGATGAGTGTTCAGCTCGATTAGGACGAACCCAGGCACTTAGCCATGCACAGGAACAATGGCAAGCCCTTAGCATGATCGGGAGTGGCAATGGGAGTCTCACTGGATCAGGAGCACAGCGGACACCCTGCCGGATCTGGAGGGATGGGAGTCAGCGGCGGGATGGGAGTCAGCAGCGGGTCTGCAACAGCGGCAAACAGCAGTGGTCGACGGCAAGCGAAAGCTCAGCTTGAGCCTTAACAAACACGGACCAGAAGAGTGCAGTTGCAAGATTCAATAGAGTGAATCAGAGTGAAAACAGAGCACCCATACAAAGGGAGGGGACCCAAAGGGGGGTGCCGTTGCTGGCTCAAATGCCTGGGTTTATATCCCGATCCTTGTCCCTCCCACTGTGGTCTCAGGCAATAGATGATTGGCTATTTCTTTACCTACTGTTTTTGCCTAATTAGCATTTTAGTGAGCTCTCTGATTTGTTGGGTGTGAGCTAAGTTGCAAGCCCTGTGTTTAAAGGTGGATGCAGTCACCTTCCCAGCTAGGCTTAGGGATTCTTAGTCGGCCTAGGAAATCCAGCTAGTCCTGTCTCTCAACGTTATGTGACAAAGAAGAAAGTCAAAATATTTTACCCCAAATCTTGTTTCTTTTCCCTATCTTGAAATGGCCCTGCAAAGCTGTCCTTCATGTGGGAAAATTTACATCTGTAAAGAATCTCTGTTAACATAGCCAGATCTTTTTCTTCCAGACCCTTCCAATCCTAAAGAGATTAACTAAGAATCTAACACCTTTTAAAGATTTGAATAGAAAACACTTGTCATCTATTGTCTCTGAGGGCAGCCACTATAAGATTCAAAAGAACCTCAATCTCCACAATCTTTTATCTTAACCTGAACATTTCCTTTCTATTGATTCCAGGTCTTTAGACAAATTCCAACAATTGCCAACCAGAAAATGTTTAAATTTACCTATGGCCTGGAAGATCCCCCCGCCCCCACAGCTCCCTCCCCTCTTTGAGTTGTCCTGCCTTTCTGGACAAAACCAATGTATTTCTTAAATGTATTTGATTGATGTCTCATGCCTGCTAAAATGTATAAAACCAAGCTGGGCCCTGACTACCTTGGGCACATGTTCTCAGGACCTCCTGAGACCTATGTCACGGGCCACAGTCACTCATATTTGGCTCAGAATAAATCTCTTCAAATATTTTACAGAGTCTCTTTTTGTTGACAAACCATAATAATAAAACTTATAATATTTTATTATTAAAAAGAGTTTTTTTATTATTAACTGATCTTCATTTCTGTACTTATATTTGTAACAGTAGGAAACACATGTGAATGCGTATTTGCTCAAGCTGCATGCCTTCAGCCTTCTAAATCCTCAGGGAAATACTTGAATACAAAAAGAAAAAGGTATGTCTCACACCACATCCCATTAACTCTTAGAACTTAAATTCAATATACCAAAAAAAAGGTCACTTAAGTCAACGAATGTCTCCAAAAGCAAGGTCATAAATGAAATTGTTTTGCTTCCTCTAGTGTCCCTGAGCATATTGAGACCAGGTTATGGCTCTTCAACAGAAGTAATTCTGCTTTATAAAAAACAAACAAACAAACAAAACCAAACCTAGTGAAAGCATCAGATTCTACCTTTGTCTAGTTTTGCCTAAGCAGTAACCTTTGCTTCTTAGCTATTCTACCAAAATGTAAACTGTTAAAAGACATTCACTGTCCTGGAGGTCCTTTGAAAGTCTAATTAATTGAAAAACAGAAAGTAGGAACCTCTCACAGTGGCCTTTCATGAAGAGCAACCAAGTTTTACCAAAGGCGTTATGTGCTATCAGTGCTGGTTGTCTACTTGTGGGAAAGCAAAACCTAATGGAAGTAGAACAGGTTTTGGAGCCTAACATTACGTTTGTAAACTACATCACCACTGACTTCCTGAGTAGCCGTGCACAAAGTTATTTATGTTGTCAACGTTTCACTTTCTTCATTAATAAAATTGAGATAATAGCTAACTGAGAGAGTGTCTTTTGATGATTAAATGAATCACATACAAACAAGCAAGTGTAATACTGTCTGGAATCAAAGAGATAGTAAATGAAGAGAAAATGTTATTAGTAACCTCTGCTTTATTGTGGGTAGTACACATTTTAGAACAAGAAATGTCTCCTTATTATAGGCACTGAGAGGAAATATTTGTTTCCACATTACCAATATTTTATCACCTGGAAATTCAATCTCCTTGACATATGTTCACAGCCTATGTCAAAGATGAATGTGAAAGATCTGGAGATTCTCTTCATTGCTTTCATTAACATTCATTAGTGTTGTTTTCGTATGTAAGTTCATATTTTTAGTGACTTTCCAAATATTTAACAGGAATGTTTATCAATGCCTTCAAGTGAGACAAAGAAAACAAAAGGCACACATGGCCTTGGCATCTGTAGCAAATGAACATAAACTTGCAAATTTGGGATCTCCCAAGTTAATGAAATATAAAATAAGCATCGTGTCCCAAGTCATGTCATGAGAAATTTAGTAAAGTCAACATCCAAACCTGCACTAATTCCTCTGTTCCAATTATCGTTGGGTATCTACAGGCTATTCTTCCCCTTTTTGAGTTTCTTTACTTTAAAACTATTGACTCTCACAGGCATACAAAGGATCTTCTACCTAGAGTGTTTTTCTAAGTTTTCTCTGCCTAATTAAATTATGTGTTTCCTCAGTTCAATTTTTACCTCCTTGTAATAGGCTTCCTTGATGGTCTCAGGCTTCAGACCTCATAGAGTTTATGGTAATTATTGTGTGTGCCACTAGGGTTGAATTTATCATGTTCTTGTGTCTAAGCCTTCTACCCTTCAGTTGACCCAGTACCTAGCACAGGGCTCTACAAATAGGAAATGTGCAGCACACTTTTGCTGCTGTACACAGCTGGTCTCTCATTGTTCTAGAGTGAAACAGTCATTTATTGGACATAAGAAGCAAGTGGCGGGGGCTACCAGAAACTAAGGGAAGTGGGCCGGGCATGGTGGCTCACGCCTGTAATCCCAGCACTTTGGGAAGCCGAGGTGGGTGGATCACCCGAGGTCGGGAGTTCAAGACCAGTCTGACCAACATGGAGAAACCCCGTCTCCACTAAAAACACAAAAATAGCTGGGTGTGGTGGCGCATGCCTATAATCCCAGCTACTGGGGAGGCTGAGGCAGGAGAATCACTTGAACCTGGGAGGCGGAGGTTGCAGTGAGCCGAGATCGCGCCATTGCACTCCAGCCTGGGCAACAAATAGCGAAACTCCATCTCAAAAAAAAAAAAAAAAAGAAAGAAACTAAGGGAAGTGGAGAATGCAAAGTTGTTTAATGAGTATAAACTTTCAGTTATACAAGATACATAAGTTTTAAAGATCTGCTGTACAACATAGGGCCTATAGTTAATAATACTGTGTTGTACACTTAAACAATTGTTAAGAGAGTAGATCTTACATTACATATTCTTACAATAACAACAACAAGAAAACATAAAACAAAAAGGCAAAAGAAAACCTTTGGAGCTAATGGATGTATCAATTACCTTGATTGTGGTGACAGTTTCATCAGTACATGCACATCTCCAAACTCATTAAATTATATACATTAAATATGTACAATTTTTTGTATATCAATTATATCTCACAAATTGATAAAAAGGATATATTGGAATAAAAAATGTCAAGGGACAGAGTATCACAGAGAAAGAGGAAAGTGTCAGATTTTATAATTTTGAATACGTAAAATACTGCCATATCTGCAGTCAGCACAAGACCTAAACAGTGATGTGCCACCATACATATGGCCAGTAAAAGAAAAACCATAAAACAAATAAACGAGCAAAATCGCTTTACAGTATGGTATTGGTGTTGCCTCTTGAAACCTGAGAGAAGTCTGTTTTTATTTTTTGCTCAAGCTGAACATTCACTGTGCCTTGATTTTACTCCCTTGGAGCATACAGTCTAAGCTGACAGGACAAAGACTATAGCTCAGAAGTCTCTCTAACCTCCCACAACTCAATGTTTAACCTACTGTTTTTAAACACAGCAGTGTTCAGTGAATGCCTGCTAAACCAGTGGCCTTTAATGTGCAGTACATGCCCCTGTAGGTAACAAATTTCCAAATGTTCCAGAGAGATACTACATCTAAGAACATTAGTTATTTGATCCTCTGCTTCCTTATGTACTCTCTAAAACTCACCTGTCAGAATACCCCTCTGGTCCAGGCCTCATGCAGGTTCTGCTTTCACATGTCCACTTCAAAATTGAAATTATACTTCTTCCAATTTACAAAAATAAAAAAGGCATCCAACTAACATACCTAGATTCTTCCTTGAGTGCCTTAGGTTGTACTGACAGCCTCCCGAGGTGCTAAGCAAAGAGGAAATTTGGAATATCAGTAAAACTTCCTTTAAACAAAGAATGGCAGTAGAAATCTGGTGTGTGGACTTATCTGGGGATGTTCTGAATTCAGATATACTGTGGCATGGGGTGGGATAGAAAAATATTATTTAATGAACTATACCTTCACAACCCAAGTATTTTCAAAGAATTCACTGGTCAGTGGAATTTTGTGAGAGCAAAACAAACAGAACACTGTTAAGAAATGTGGAAAGTGGTGGTGCTGTATTTCAGATAGGTGACAGACTCAAGGTAATGCCTTGTGTATTTTCCATCTTAAATTTTAAAGGTGAGAAGCAGTCATGGAGATGCTATTAATACACTTACTTGAATTGGAAGAAAATGAACTCAGGCATTTTCTGAAAAAGTAAGTCTTATTGGTTAGCAATGAATACTGTTTTGACAATTAATTTATTTGATAATAAAACTCCAAATTTTTTGCAAATGTAGATTCAGGGAGAACAATACATTTGTTTATTACATAGGTATTACCTACATAATAATGAGGATTGGGCTTCTAGTGTATCCATCACCCAGATATACACAGTAGGTAATTTTTCAACTCTTATCCCAATCCCCTAACTTTGGAGTCCCCAGAGTCTATTTTCTTCATTTTTAGGTCCATGTGTACCACTTGTTTATCTCCCACTTAGAAATGAGAACAAGTGATATTTTATTTTCTGCTTCTGTGGTAGTTCACTTCTTATAATGGCTTCCAACTCCATCCATGCTGATGCAAGAGACATGATTTCATTATTTTGTATGGCTGTATGGTATTCCATGGTGTACATGTGCCATATTTTCTTTATCCAATCAACTTTTGGTGGACATTTAGGTAGGTTCCATGATGTTGCTATTGTAAATAGTGCCACAATAAACATATAAGTGCAGGTTTATTTTTTATTTAATAAGTTCTTTTCCCTTGGGTAGATACCCAGTAGTTGGATTTCTTAATCAAATGGTAGCCCTACTTTTAGTTCTTTAAGATATCTCCATACTGTTTTTTTTGTTGTTGTTGTTTTGTTTTTGAGACGGAATCTCGCTCTGTCACCAGACTGTAGTGGCACGATCTCGGCTGACTGCAACCTCCGCCTCCTGGGTTCAGGCGATTCTCCTGCCTCAGTCTCCTGAGTAGCTGGGACTACAGGCATGTGCCACCATGCCCAGCTAATGTTTGTATTTTTAGTAGAGACGGGGTTTCACCATGTTGGCTAGGATGGTGTCGATCTCTTGACATCATGATCTGCCCGCCTTGGCCTCCCAAATTGCTGGGATTACAGGTGTGAGCCACTGAGCCTGGCCTTCCATACTGTTTTTCAAAGAGGTTGGACTAATTTACATTTCCACCAACAGTGTATGAACATACCCTTTTCTCCACATCCACACTAACATTTATTGTGTTTTTAACTTTTTAATAAAAGTCATTTAGACTGGTGTGAAATGTCATTGTAGAGTGGTTTTAATTTGCATTCCTCTGATTATTAGTAATGTTGAACATTTTTTCATGTGTTTGTTGACTACCTGTATTTCTTCTCTTGAGAAATGTCTGTTAATAATCTTCACCCACTTTTTAATGAGATTATTAGTGTTCATTCATTGTCATTGAGTTGTTTTGAGTTCCTTGTAGATACTATATAATAATTCTTTGTTGGAGGCATAATTTATAAATGTTTTCTTCCATTCTGTAGGCTGTCTGTTTATCCTATTGATTACTTCTTTTGCTGAGCAGAAACTTTTTAGTTTTATTAAGTCTCATTTATTTTTGTTTCTGTTGCATTTGTATTTTGATTCTTCATCATAAATTTGTTGCCTAGCCCAATATCCACAAGATCCCTAAAATAATTTTTTCTAGTATTATTATAGTTTCAGGTTTTAAATTTAGGTCTTTAATTCATCTTGAGATAATTTTTTTTTATATGTTGAAGGACAGAGGTCCAATTTCTTTCTTCTGCATATGTCTAGCCAGTTTTCCCAGTACTATTTATGACATAGGGCGTCTTATCCCAGTTGTTTATTTTTGTTGACTTTATTGAAGATCAGTTTGTTGTAGGTATGTGGCTTTATTTCTGTGTTCTCTATTTGTACCATTGAATTATGTGACTATTTTTGCACCAGTATCATGCTGTTTTAGTTATTGCAGCCTAATAGTATAATTTGAAGTCATGCAATCTGATGCATTGTTTTTTTTTTTTTTGCTTAGGATTTCTTTGAATATTCAGGCTTTTTTTGTTCCATATGAACTTTAGAATTTTTTATAATATTTCTGTGAAAATGACACTGATAATATGATAGAAATTGTATTAAATGTGCAGATTTATTTGGATAAAATGGTCATTTAAATGATACTGAGTCTTCCAGTCCATGAGCATGGAATGTTTTCTCATTTATTTGTGTCATTTACAATCTCTTTCATGAGTGTTTTGTAGTTCTTTTTTTAAAGATACTTTATCTTTTTGGTTAAATGTATTCCTAGGTATTTTATATTTTTGTGGCTATTGTAAAAGAGACTCAGTTCTTAACTTGGTTCCCAGTTTGAATGTCATTGGTAAATAGAAATGCTATTTCTTTTTTTAAAATTTAACTTTTATTTTAAGTTCAGGGGTACATGTCCAGGTTTGTTATATAGGTAAACTTGTGTCATGGGGGAGGGTTTGTTGTACAGATTATTTTGTCACCCAGGTATTAAGCCTAGTACCTATTAGTTATTTTTTCTAATCCTCTCTATTTTCTCATCCTCCACCCTCTTACAGGCTCCAGTGTGTGTTGTTTCCCTCTATATGTCTATGTTTTCTCATCATTTAGCTCCCACTTATAAGTAAGAATATGCAGTATTTGGTTTTCTGTTCCTGCATTAGTTTGCTATGGATAATGGCCTCCAGCTCCATCCATGTTCCATCAAAGAACACGATCTCATTCTTTTTTTTATGGCTGCATAGTAATCCATGTGTATATGTACCACATTTTCTTTATCTAGTCTACCATTGCTGGGCATTTAGGTTTTGATTTCTTGACTTTGCTATTGTAAATAGTACTTCAGTGAAAATATGTGGGCATGTTTTTTTTTTTTAATAGAATGATTTATATTCCTTTGGGTATATATCCAGTAATGGGATTTCTGGGTTGAATGGGATTTCTGTTTTAGATCTTTAAAGAATTACCACACTGTCTTCCACGATGGTTGAACCAATTTACATTTCCACCAACAGTGTATAAGCCACTGATTTCTATACATTGATTTTGTATCCTGAGACTTTACTGAATTCATTTACTAGATCTGGGAGTCTTCTGGAAGAGTCTTTAGGGTTTTCTAAGTATACAATTAGGTTGTCATGTAACAGTGATAATTCAACAGCAAGGGAATAGTCTTAAATAACACACAATGGAACTCCTATATGTATAGCATCAGACTTTTCAGTGGAAAGCTTACAGGCCAGGAGAGAGCAGCATGACCTCTTTATAGTGTTGAAGAAAAAAATTTATATCCTAGAGAGGGATATCCAGTGAAAATATCCTTCAAACATAAATAAAATAAAAACATTCCCAGACACCAACACCAGACATCCCAAAATAACACTAAAGAGAATTCTTCAATCAGAAAAAAAAAAAAACTTTAATGAGCAATAAGAAATCATGTGAGGGTACAAAATTCACTAGTTATAATAAGTACACACAAAAAATACAGACAACTATAACAGTGTAGTTGGGGAGTGTAAACTATTCTTAAGTAGAAAGACAAAAATATAAATCAAAGAATAATGACAACTACGACAACTTTTCAAGACAGAATAAAGTGTATACAGAAAGAGCAAAATGTTAAAAATGGTGGGGGAACTTAAACTGTAGAGTTTTTATTAGTTTTCTTTTTGTTTATTCAGTTGCTTATGCAGTCAGTGTTAAGTTGTTATCAGTTTAGAACAATGAGTTAAAAGTTAGTATTTGCAAACCTCAAAGTAATCACAAGTCAAAATCACAACGGATGAACATACAAAAAAAATTCAGTAAATCATACTACAAAAGAACATCACTTTAACTTAAAGGAAGACAGGAAGGAAGGAAAAAAAAGAGAATATAGCAAAACAACCAGAAAACAAATAATAAAATAGCAATAGTAAGTCCTTACTTAGCATCAATATTATTGAATGTAAATAAACTAAATCCTCCAATGAAAAGACATAGAGTGGCCGGGTGCGGTGGCTCATGCCTGTAATCCCAACACTTTGGGAGGCTGAGGAGGGCAGATCACGAGATCAGGAGATCAAGACCATCCTGGCCAACATGGTGAAACCCCGTCTCTACCAAAAATATAAAAATTAGCCAGGTGTGGTAGCTCGTGCCTGTAGTCCTAGCTAGTTGGGAGGCTGAGGCAGAAGAATCGCTTGAACCCAGGAGGCGGAGGTTGCAGTAAGTCGAGATCATCCCACTGCACTCCAGCCTGGTGACAGAGCGAGACTCTGTCAAAAAAAAAAAAAAAAAAAAAAAAAAAAAAGAAAAAGAAAAAAAAATTGAAAGAAAAGACATAGAGTGGCTGAGGGATAATAAAAGCAAGATCCAAAGATTGATTGCTTACAAGTAACACATTTCACTTATAAAGACACACACGTACTGAAAATGAAGGAATGGAAAAAATATATTCCATGACATGGAAACCAAAGCAAAAGCAAGATTAGCTATACTTATATCAGAAAAAAATAGATTTCAAGAAAAAAAAGTGTAATAAAATACAAAGAAGGTGATTATATAATGATAAAGGGGTCAACTCAACAAGATGATATATCAGTTTTAAATATATGCACCCAACACTAGAGCAAACATACATATATATTTTCTCCAGCGTTGGGTACATATTTATATATATAGTAACATATATATAGTAAATATATTAAAAATAATATATTATTAATGTATTATGTGTTACATATAGTACCTATATTGTTATATATATCATTTATATATTATATAATATTCATATATTATAAATACATAATATAAATTTACTATGTATAAATTTATATACTATATAATATATACAATATTAATTTACTATAGATTTGTATAGTATAATGTTATAAATAATATATAGTAAATATTATTAGAGCTATAGTGAGAGATAGAGCCTAATACAATAACAACTGTAGACTTCAGCACCCTACTTTTAGCATTAGCCAAATCATCCAGAGAGAAAATTGACAAAGAAACATCACACTTTATCTGCACTGTAGATCAAATGTACCCAAAACATAGTTACACTACAGTTTTTCATCACCAACAGAATACACTTTTTTGCTTCTCAGCACATGGATTTCTTTAAAGGAAAGACCATGGTAGACAAAAAAAAAAAAAGTCTTAAAACATTCAAAACTTGAAATAATATCAACCACCTAATCTGATTACAATGACATAAAAGTAGAAATCAATAATAAGATGAACTTTGGAAACCATAAAAACATGTGAAATTTAAACAGTGTGCTCCTGAGTGACTAGTTGGTCAATGAATTAAGAAGAAAATTGAATAATTTCTTGAAAAAAATGATATATGGAAACACATTATAACAAAATCTATGGGATACAATGAAAGTGATACAGAAAGGGAAGTTTATAGCTATAAATTCCTATATTAAAAAGAAGAAAAATGTCAAAGAAATAACCTAACAATGCATCTTACAGAACTAGGAAAGCAAGCACAAAAAATACCCATAGTTAGTAGAAGAAAAGAAATTAAAGTATCAAAGCAGAAATAAATTAAATTGAAACAAATAAATAGAAAAGAACAATGGACAAAAAAGTAGGGCATTTTTGAAAAGATAAACAAAATTCACGAATCTTTAGCCAGACAAACTAAGGAAAAAAGAAAGAAGACCCAAATAAGTAAAATCAGAGATGAAAAAGGAAACAATATAATTGATACCACAAAAATTCAAAGGATCATTAGTGGCTGCTATATGCTAACAAATTAGAAAATCAACAATAAAGAAATATAATTATAGATACCTAAAACCTATCAATATTAAATCATAAAGAAATCTAAAACATGAACAGACCAACAGCAAGTAATGAGATCAAAGCCATAATAAAAAGTCTCCCAGCAAAGAAAAGCTGGACCTGATGACTTCACTGTTAATTTCTACCAATTATTTAGAGAAGACCTAATACCAATCCTTCTCAAACTATTCCAGAAAAGAGAGCAGGAAGGAACACTTTGACTCATTCTATGAGGCCATTATTACCCTGATATCAAAATGAGACAAAGACAAACCAGAAAAAGAAAACTACAGGCCAATATCTCTGATGAACATTGATGCAGAAATTCTCAACAAAATACTAGCACACTGAATTCAGCAACACATTAAAAAATTATCCTTCATGAACAAGGGAGATTTATCCTAGGGATGCAAGGATGATTCAATATATGCAAATCAACCAATGTGATACATCATATCAACAGAGTGAAGGGTAAAAACCCTATGATTATTTCAACTGATTAGGAAAAAGCATTTGATAGAATTAAACATCACTTCATGATTAAAGCCATCAAAATATTGGTGATAGAGGGAACGTACATAAATATTTTAAAAAGCCATATATGACAGACCATACTGAATGTAGAAAAACTCAAAGCCCTTCCTCTAACATCTGGAACACAACAAGGATGCCCACTGTCACTAGTGTTATTCAACATAGTACTGTGAGACCTAGCAAGACAAATCAGACAAGAGAAAGATTTAAAGGGCATCCAAATTGGAATGGAAGAAGTAAAATTATAATTGTTTGCAGATGGTATGTTCTTATATTTAGAAAAGCCTAAATAACCTAGAAAACACTATAAGAACTGATAAAGAAATTCAGAAAAGTTACATGACACAAAATCAGCATACAAAAATCAGTAGCATTTCTGTATGCCAACAGTGAACAAATAAAATACAATGAAATATCTAAAAATTAACCAAATAAGTAAAAGATTTCTAAAATGAAAACTATAAAACACTGATGCAAGAAACTAAAGAGGACAAAAAAATGGAAAAATATTTTGTGTTCTTGGATTAGAAGAATCAATATTATTAAAATGTTCAATCTACAGATTCCTTGCAATCCCTATCAACACATCAATGAAATTATTCACAGCAAAAGAAAAACAATTCTAAAATTGATATAGAACCACAAAACACCAGGAATAGCCAAATTCTCCTGAGCAAAAAACCAAAACTGGAAAAAAATCACATTACCTGACCTCAAATTAAATGGCAGAGCTATAGTAACCAAAAAAGCATGACACTTGCATAAAGTCAGAAACACAGTCCAATGGAAAAGAATAGAAAACTCAGAAATAAATTCATACATCAGCACTGAATTCATTTTTAACAAAGTTGCCAAAGCATTCACTGAGGAAAAGAGTGTTTCTTCAATAAATGGTGCTGAGAGAACTGAATATTCATATGCAAAAGAATGAAACTAGACCTCTCTCTCTCACCATACATAAAAATCAAATGAAATGCAGTAAAGACTTAAGTCTAAGTTCTTACACGATGAAACTACTAAAAAGAATCCATTGTGGAATTGGACTATGCAAAGATTTCTTGTGTAATACCCCACATGCACAGGCAACCAAAACAAAAATTGACAAATGGGATCCCATCAAGTGGAAAAGTTTCTGCACAGAAAAGGAAACAATCAATAATGTGACAGGACAACCCAGACAATGAGAAAAAAACATTTGCAAACCACCCATCTCCCATGGGATAAATAACCAGAACATGTAAAGAGCTCAAATAACTCTATAGGAAACAATCTAATAATCTCATTTAAAAATGGAGTAAAAAGATGAATAGACATTTCTGAAAGGAAGACATACAAATGGCAAACAGGTATATGAAAAGGCACTCAAGATCACTGAACATCAGAGAAATGCAAATCAAAACTACAATGAGATATCATCTCACCCTAGTTAAAATGGTTCATATCCAAAAGACAGGCAATAACGATTGCTGGTAAGGATGTGGAGAAAAGGGAATCCTTGCACCCTGTTGGTAGGAATGTAAATTAGTACAACCTCTATGAAGAACACTTTGGAGGTTCCTCAAAAAAAAAAAAAAAATTAGAGCTATCATATGATCCAGTAATCCCATTGCTGCGTATATACCCAAAAGAAACGAAATCAATATATCAAAGAGATATCTGCATTCCCATGTTTATTGCGGCACTATTCACAAAGGCCAGGGTTTGGAAGCAATCTAAATACTCATAAACAGATGAATGGATAAAGAAAATATGGTCCATATATACTTTGGGGCACTATTCAGCAATGAAAAAGAATGAGAATCTATCATTTGGAACAACATGGATGGAACTGGAGGTCATTATGTTAAGTGAAACAAGCCAGGCAAAGAAAGACAAGTTTTGCATATTTTCACTTATCTGTGGAAGGTAGAAATAAAAACAACTGAACTCATAGAGAGTAGAAGGATGGTTACCAGAGGCTAGGAAGGATAATGGGGGGTGGGAGGGAGTGGAGAAAATGTGAATGGTTAATGGGTACAAAATAAAAGGGAAGAATGAATAAGACCTAGTATTTGATAGCACAACAGCATGACTATAGTAAATAATAATTTAATTGTACTGTAATTGTACTTTATAAAATAACTAAAAGAGTATAATTGGACTACTATCCTAAGTCCATCCCTTGTCACACTGGCACTCATACGTATCTCCTTAAACCGTATTTAATTATCCAAATAAAACGACAATAACAATGTGTATTTCTTATTCCAAAGGTGTTATTCTGCCTAAGGTAAAACAAATATCTTCCCTACAACTAAAAATGCATAAAAGCCATCTCAGAAGAGGAGGTGAAGTACTTGAATGATATTTACTTTTCTCCATGATATTCAATAACTTATATACTCTGATGCAAAATTAACAATACCTTAATATTCATATAAAGTCAATACATGCTATGGTATAAGACAAGGGAATAAGAGAGTAAAGAAAACAAGGACATTTGCGATATATACATATATATATAGCTATACACACACACACACACACACACACAATTAGAACGGGTTGTTAGCCAAATAGAAAGGAAATACTCATGACAATCATAGTCCTCAATTCTGTAACTGATCACATGGTTGTGGCTGCTATTTATTTATGTATTTATTTAGAGACGGAGTCTCGCACTGTTGCCTGAGCTGGAGTGCAGTGGTGCGATCTTGGCTCACTGCAACCTCCACCTCCTGGGTTAAAGCAAGTCTCTTGCCTCAGCTTCCCGAGTAGCTGGGATTACAGGCACCTGCCACCACGACCAGCTAATTTTTTTTTTTTTTTTGTATTTTCAGTAGAGACAGGGTTTCACCATGTTGGCCAGGATGGTCTCGAACTCCTGACCTTGTGATTCACCTGCATCAGCCTCCCAAAATGCTGGGATTACAGGCGTGAGCCACTGCAGCCGGCCATGGCTGGTATTTATACCTACTTTTTTCTACTACTCACTCTGTGTTCCCTTTGCTTTCAGCAAGCACATCAGCTGTTCATGGTTTATTACCTGGCAGGGTGGCCCACAACTTTATTCCTAAAGGATCTGGGACATTCATAGTCCTGCCTGGGTTGGGTTTTTCTGCTTTATATTGGCCTTAATCACAGGGTATGGTAATATTAAGAGATGCCTTAAGAGGTCTCCTGTATTCCAAACAAATTCTTCCTTACTTCCGTTGTGGAACAGTAATATAATTTCCCTTGTTAGTCAAGATCAACCACTTCAGCCAACACCATAACTCCTTTCTTGGCCTATTGACTCAAAGACATGAGGAGCCCAATGTAGCTGGATGTCAGTCTTCTAGTTCAGTGGAATCTTGGCTGTGTCTCCTGGTGGAAGCGTTTCTCCCTCTGGCACTAAGACCTCTATGCTAGCAAAGCATAAAGTCATGGGAACAGGAAATACAATTTCTGCTAGTGGGCGACTAGGGGTAATGGTGAGTGGTGCCAATCATTCTTTCACCCCTTGATTCCTGAACCAATAAATCCTGGCAATTAAAAAAAATAGCACCATGTATTGGAAGCTGCTTCAGATTATAGATAGTCTTCTGGAGAATCTTGCAAAGTATTGCCATCTAGCTGACATTGTAACTGAACCTTCAAAAAGCCATTTTATCATTGTATCAAACCAGAAATTTTAGGATAATGAGAAACATAGCAAGACCAGCATATTCCATGAACATGGGTCAATTGTTGTTCCAAACCATTGGCCACAGCCCATGAATTAATACGTAATTATGTATCTGGCCCTTCCTCCTTTCAAGAAAAGTGATCAACCATGTGTGCTGCTCAAATTTCTGCCCACTGTGGGAATTCCCCTTTACAACTGTCCTTCAGGGATATCCCAGAAAGGGGCTGCAGTGTTGCAACTGTTCACTTTGAGTTGGTACCTACACATCATGCAAAACTATTCACAAACATGACCTGAATTTTTTATTCCAGCCTTACAGGATGACCTTAAAGGAGTGCTAAACATGAAATAAAAAGAATGACACCTAGAAGACAACAGCAACTAGGAAAAAAAATCAACAAAACCAGCCCCAAAGCTAGCAGAAGAAAATAAATGACTAAAATTGGAGAAGAACTTTATAAATTTGAGTTACAAAAATCCACACAGAAGATCACTGAAAGCAAAGTTGACTGTTTGAAAAAATAAACGAGATGAACAGACCACGATTAACAAAGAAAAAAAAAGAGAAGATCCAACTAAGGACAACCAGAAATGACGACGATGACATTACAGGTGATCCCACAGTAATACAAAAGATCTGCAGCAAATACTATAAACAACTCTTTGCACACAAATTAGACAGCATAGAGGAAATAGATAAATTCCTGCAAATGCACAATCTCTCAAGATTGAATCAGGAAGAGATTGAAGCCCTGACTAGATCAATATCAAACTCTGAAATTGAATCAGCAATAAAATACCTATTGACCCAAAAAAAGCCCTGGGTCAGATGAATTCACAGCCAAATTCTACCAGTCTTATAAACAAAAACTGGTACCAATCCTACTGAAAGTATTCCAAAAAATGGAGAGGAGGGACCCCTCCCTAATACATTCTATGAAGCCAGCATCAGCCTAATACCAATATCTGGCAGAGACATGATAAAAAAATACAATATCAGGCCAATATCCATAATGAACATATTCACAAAAATCATCAACAAAATACTAGCAAGTAGAATCCAGCAGCAAATCAAAAATTCAATTCACCACCATCAAGTAGGCTTTATTCCTTGGATGCAAGGTTGGCTCAACATACATAAATCAATAACTATGGTTAACCATATAAACATAATTAAAAGCAAAAACCATATGATCATCTCAATAGATACAGAAAAAAACACTTGATAAAATCCAGCAGCCCTTCATGATAAAAACCCTCAACAGAATAGGCATCAAATAAACATACCTCAAAATAATAAGAGCCATCTATGACAAACCCACAGCCAACATCATACTGAACAGGTAAAACCTAGAATCATTTCCATTGAGAACTGAAACAAGGCAAAGATGCCCACTCCCACCACTCCTATTCAACATACTTCTGGAAGTCCTAGCCAGAGCAGTGAGGCAAGAGAAAGAAACAAAATGCATCTAAATAAAAAAAGAAGTCAAACTATCTCTCTTTACTGTCAATATGATTCTATGCCTAGAAAATCCTAAAGGCTCCTAGAATTAATAAATAACTTTAGTAATCTTTCAGGATACACAATCAATGTAAAACATCTAGTAACATTTATATACATCAACATCATACAGGCTGAGAGTCAAATAAAGAACACGATAACATGTATGATAGCTGCAGAGAAAACTAAATACCTAGGAATAGAGCTAACCAAGAAAGTTAAAGGCATCTAAAAGGAGAACTACAAAATACTGCTCAAAGAAATCAGAGATAACACAAATAAATGAAAAAACATTCTATTCTTATGGAATGGAAGAATCAATATTGTTAAAATGGCCATACTGCCCAGAGCAATTTACAGATTTGACACTATTCTTATTAAACTACCTACGTGATTCTTCACAGAAATATAAAAATAAAAACTATTCTAAAATTTACTTGGAACCAAAAAAGAGCCCAAATAGCCAAAGTAATCCTAAGCAAATAGAAATAAACCTGGAGGCATCACACTACCTAACTTCAAACTATTCTATAAGGTTACAGTAACCAAAACAGCATGGTACTGATACAAAAAAGATACACAGACCAATGGAGCAGAATAGAAAACTCAGAAATGGCTGGGCACGGTGGCTCATCCCTGTAATCCCAGCACTTTGGGAGGCCGAGACAGGCGGATCATGAGGTCAGGAGTTTGAGACAAGCCTGGTCAGTATGGTGAAACCCTGTCTCTAGTAAAAATACAAAATTAGCCAGGTGTGGTTACATGCGCCTGTAGTCCCAGCTACTCTGGAGGCTGAGGTAGAACAATCGCTTGAACCTGGGAGGTGGAGATTGCAGTGAGCTGAGATCGCACCGCTGCACTCCAGCCTGGGCAACAGAGGGAGACTCCATCTTAAAAAAACAAACAAACAAAAACACCTCAGAATTGAAGCCACATACCTGTAACTATCTGATCTTTGACAAAGCTGACAAAATCAAGCAATGGGGAAAGGACTCTGTATGCAATACATGGTGCTGGGATAACTAGCGAGTCATATTCAGTGGAATAAAACTAGACCCTTACCTTTCATCATATACAAAAATTAACTCAAAGACTAAAATTTTTAAATGTAACACCTCAAACTGTAAAAATCCTAGAAGAAAACCTAGGAAATAACCTTCCCAGCATTGGCCTTAGCAACTGATTTTTGGCTATCTCCTTAAAAACAATTGCAACAACAACAACAAATGGACAACTGGAACCTAGTTAAACTAAAGACCTTCTGCACAGCAAAAGAAACTATCGACAAAGTGAACAGATAACCTACAGAATGGGAGAGAATACTCACAAACCATGCCATCTGACAAAGATTTACTATTCACAATATCTAAGAAACTTAAGCAAATCAAGTAAGAAACAACCCTGTTAAAAAATGAGTGAAGAACATGAACAGACACTCCTCAAAAAAAAGACATACAAGTGGCTGTTGATGAAGAGAGTCAAACTGTAAAATATTTGAAGAGATTTATTCCGAGCCAAAATATAGGTGACCATGGCCTGCGACACAGCCCTCAGGAGATCCTGAGAACATGTGCCCAAGGTGGTTGGTGTGTGGCTTGTAGGGAGGCATGAGACACCAATCAAATACATTTAAGATACACGTTGGTTTGGTCTGGAAAGGTGGGTTAACTTGAAGCAGGAGCTGCTGGTTACAGGTAGATTTAAAAATTTTTCAAATGGCAATTGATTGAAAGAGTTATTATCAATAGGAAAAAACATCTGGGTTTCAATGAGAGGTTGTAGAGACCAAAGTTTTAGCATGCAGATGAAGCCTCCAGGTGGCAGGCTTCAGAGGAAACAGATTGTAAATGTTTATCAGACTTTAAGTCTCTGTTGATGTTAATGCCAGAGAGTTATAATGAGACATGTTGGTCCCCTACTTCCTGTCATGGTCTGATTCAGATAGTTGGGGGGCCTTAGAATTTTATTTTTGGTTTACATCTCTCCCTTCCGGCCAAGATTTGCCAGAGGCAACATCCACAGACAGCAAATCTCTATTTTGTCTTGTACCCGAGCGAGTTAGAGAGAAATGCCACACTTTGAGACAAATTTAGGAGTCCTTTATTTGCCGGCAACCGAGAGACGGCTGGCACTCGAAATTCTCGGCCCCGAAGAGGGGGTCAGATTTTCTTTTATACTTTGGTTTAGAGAGGGGAGGAGGATTCTAGCTGTAGCAACTTTACAGAAGAGAAACGGACAAAAAAGTTAAAAAGACAAATGGTTACAGGAAAACAAACAGTTCCAGGTGCAGGGGCTTCAAATTCACCACCAAGTCATAGGTGAGGGGGCTCTGGGCGTTATCTACTGGACAAATGCGGGGGCTTTATGGTACCATCTTTGAGTACATTGTTGGGAACTGCGGACACCAGCTTGCCTCAGTACCTTATCAGTTAATTGGACTCTTTGATATGCTGAGAGTCAGCTTACACAAGTTAACTCCTTGAGGAAGGGGGTGGGTAAGGAGTCCTTGATGTCTTGCAAATGAAGGAGCCAAATGGAGTTCCTCCGGTTTTCTCAGCTAAGGGAGAGTCTAACATATTAAAACAAAGTTAGGTAGCTAAGGGAGAGTCTAACAAGGTTAGGTATTACAGTGTTATAGCATTGCTGGGGTGGCATGGCTGCCTGCCCCATGTCCATTCTGTCCCTCGGTGGGACTCTGTATGGCCGAGGGACTTAAAAGTCAAAAGACGTACAGCCAATTAAATGCTCTAGGTCAGATAAGAATGGATGTGGACAGGCATTCATTACCCATTAAAATTATTATTTTAAGTAAAAAACCAATAAATAAAAACCAAAGGCAAAAAGTGACTTATCTATAAATTCTATGCATTGAGCTTGCATAATTCTATGCCTAAGCTTGGTTGTAGTTACAGACTTACATAGCAATTAGCTGTACAAAACATAAGCGTTGTTCTAAAAAATAATTTTTTAAAAAATATATCTGTCTTTACAACTCATAACTGAAAGTATTATACCCAGGAGTTTTGTTTTTTTTTTTTTTTATACAAGTTATCTTTATCCTGTCAGTAAATATTTTATTTTCATTCTACAGGATGCAGAAAATTATTTATGGTTGGGATGGATGCAAAAGTGACAGATAATAGCTTCAAAGGCAAAGCATCTTTGTACCCCTCCTTGATTTAGACGGTCTGACTTTAACCTAACTCTATCCCTCAAAACCAGCCCTTACAATCGCAAATGCCCACCTCTTCTTAAACAGTCCCTGGGCATAGAGGAAGGGTGTTTGTATAGTTTTATGAACAAGGCCTTTGAGGCAAAAAAACAGGTCAGTCCCAGTGGGATGCTAAATGAGAAATATCTGCATATCTGGGCTTCAGAATACCGTGACTTTGGTTTCCTTGGAAGTAAAACAAGAAGAAATAAATAACATTATACTTTGAAAATGAAAAGAGTATTTTTATATTTGCATGTTAGAACAGAAAAGGGAACCCATTCCATCAGGGCACCAACTAAAGATACAAAGAAAAATTATAATCTGGTACTCTTTAGAGGATGATATAGCCAAGAAGTAGTTCATGATTCAAACTGCACTCAAAAACACACACACACACACACACACACACACACACACACACACGAAAGGTAGGGCTGTAATCTAGTATCAAGTATTTTACTTTTTCACTGAAACAATTTCTCTCTCTTTTGAGCCCTCCATTCCTATTGAAGAGAAATTATAGTAAGAACAATTTGTGTACAAAATAAATATAGGCTTATCGTACTTGGCCTGATTATTTGTATAAAATGCAGCAAGAATGTATTAGCCATATAAACTCCTTTTTATTTGGCTTTTCTGGAACTTTACCTAAAAATATGCTATTTTAGTCAAAATCTTGATAAAATAACCAGTGTCTCCAATTGTTCTGTTTTAAAAGACTCTTACTAAACTTACGCAAATAACTGTTTCAGAGTTGTTTAAACCAGAGCGACTCCATCTTGAATAGGGGCTGGGTAAAATAAGGCTGGGACGTACGGGGCTGCATTCCCAGGAGGTTAGCCATTTTAAGTCACAAGATGAGAGAAGAGGTTGGCACAAGATACAGGTCATAAAGTCCTTGCTGATAAAACAGGTTGTGGTAAAGAAGCTGGCCAAATCCCACCGAAACCAAGATGGTAATGAAAGTGACCTCTGGTGGTCCTCACTGCTCATTATATGCTAATTATATTGCATTAGCATGCTAAAACACACTCCCATCAGCATCATGATAGTTTCAAAATGCCATGGCAGTGTCAGGAAGTTACGCTATATGCTCTAAAAATGGGAGGAACCCTCAGTTCCGGGAATTGCCCACCCGTTTCTCAGAAAACTCATGAATAATCCACCCCTTGTTTAGCATATAATCATGAAATTATTATAAGTATCCTTAGTCCAGCAGCCCAAGCTGCTGCTCTGCCTATAGAGTAGCCATTCTTTTATTCCTTTCTTAACAAACTTACTTTTACTTTATAGCTCTATGGACTCGCCCTGAATCCTTGTGAGATCCAAGAACCCTCGCTTGGGGGTCTGGATTGGGTCCCCTTTCCGGTAACAACTATATTTTCATAAAATCACAATCCAAATTTTGGAGAACTCAGAGAGAAAGGTAAATTTGTTTACAAAAACATACTTCACCCAAATAACTCAAAAGAAAATGATTTTCTTGACCCTTTAACCAGAATAGCAGCCTTCCAAACAAGACATCTGTTCACCTTGGGACTGCCGTTTACATGTTAAGCAGCTCTTGTTAGGTAGGAGCTATTAGGTGTTGTAGAATTTAGCAGCTCCTCACACAGTTAGAGTCAGTCCTAGCGGGGAAAAAAAAGGCCTCCTGTCATGGGTATCTCCTCCTTGTATCCCCAGGCAGCAAGATCCTATATAAACCATTTTTATCATGGAACTCTTACGGGCACCATTATTTCCATTAGCATAGGGTAGCTTCAGTTAACAATCCATAGCAAGACAGTAAATGCCACTCAAGTGAAAATTCTCTAGTATAGTAATTGTCACTGGGAAGTGCTCGCAGTCTTTTGCCATAAGCCCCAATAAATGCTCTACAAAGGGCTATGAAGTGGATGATTCGTCCTCACTACCCCTCTAGCTTTTACCCTATAGTCTGTGAGCTCAGGCAATCTTACTGGTTCACAGAGTGTCCAATTAACATTTCTCAAAGAGAAGATTTACATGCCTTCAGTTTTATAGTACTAGATATGAAAAACCTCCCCTTGTCAAATACCCATTTTCACAAGACATTTAGGTAGAGGGGTTAAAACTACCTTACATAAAGCCTGTTTAAACATCGTAAATTTAATAATTCTATTAACCTGTATGTTTTTATGTTTTGGTCCCAGGAACTTATTTTTTTCTCTCCCCAGACCATTTTACCTTTTCTGGTGAAGATGGGTTTGGGTGCCCAGCAGAAAGTTGCATCTGTAAGATCCATGAGAGACGGCAAATTTGATAAGTCTTCTCGGACAGTCCTATGATTCTATGGGAGGGGTGCCCATGTAAAACGGGCCGCCTTAACCCCAAAATTTACCATGACCTGGGTTAACAGGCATATTCAGTGGGAGAATATCATGGTCATCATAAAGCCAGTTACACATGGCTTGCATATGAAGCATATTAGTTGCTTCATCTGGGGTGTTCCACTTAGCATTTTATAGGAAGAGGCAGGCAGTCCCCTTCTCAGGGCAAACAGATATTAAAGTGGTGTTTATCTGGTCCACTAGGCCAGTTGTTCTCTCAGGAATAACCTCCCATGCATTTGGGTCGCATATACTCATCAGTGACTATTTAATAGTGAGCTGCAGGTTCTGTACCAACCCAAACTATTTTATTCTCCAGTATTTAAAATTAAGAATTTTGTCTTTAAAGAGGTTATCTTTACAGTCCATTATAGTAAAGATGTCTCAAGAAGCTGATGATACCAATCTACAAAATGCAACAAATCTTTTACATTATACTCTGTGGTTTTAATAGTTACTTGGTTTTGCCCTTCCCCCATATTGACTATCTTCTTGGTAACCACAATTCTCAGAGCTAACTTGATGCCATGGCCTAATTTTTAAAATCCATTTAGTTTTATCTGTATAATTTTCCCTTCATTTTAAAGCAACTCTTAAATAGTTTCCTTACTAGAAAACTACATTTTTAAAGCAAAATTGACATCTTTATGTTTTATAACTTTACCAAAACACTTTTGACACTCCTACTATTTTAACTTACTTAGTAACCCAATTTCTCAGTGAAAAAAAAGATTACTTAATTTAACATAACATGACTTTAAGATTTGAAATTACTAGAGAGAGTTTTGAGTTTAAAATTTTACCAAAGAAGAACAAGGTAATGTGAACTAAATGGTATCTGAGCTAGCTTCTAACAGTCTGATAAGCCCTTACCTTTTTTCCTTTAAGTCCGTTGATTAGCTCTTTCATATAGCATAATAGTGAAATATCACTTCCACATGACACATATAAACATAGATATAATAGGCATGCAGAGTAAAAAGGCAGGTTCAAAAGATTTTTCATTTGCCTGCTTTCAGAAAATATTATCTCCCTTACTTTAGACAATTAATTTAAAAAGTTATAGGAGCCAAAAAAAGGTGAAGGAGTTATCATCCAAGGCCTTTTCAATAGAGAAAGAGCTGAGCTTCTGAAATATCAATCTGAAGAATCTCAAAGAGACAGATTATACAATTTAGAACTGAAAAACTTCCTGCATTAAAAATAAGTCAATATTTTTAATAAAATATTGTTTTAACTAATTCTTTAGTTTTGTATTCATGTATTTGTAATATCAAAGTTCAATTTTCGAAAAGCTATTATAATTTTTAAAAATTAAAGCCAATTAATCACATAACATTTTCATAAATTTCTTTTCTACCCTGTTACAACTTAGACTGTTCACAACATGCTTTGACTTTCTCACTTGTCCTAAATATTTTTCCTTCTTGAACAACCCAGTCATTTTATTTTAGGGCAAAAATTCACCATAAAAGATTATTTCTCACATAGAATTAGTTTTCTTTTTACCTTCCTTACCAAAAATGCCTCTTTATATCTACAGCTTTCTTTTTATCTTTTATTTTCTAGTTCCTTTTACCTTGTTTTATACATAATCTTTAAATAAACTTTGAATTAGACAAAAATATTTACCTTTTAATAAGAACACATTTTAAGAAAATGTTTTTCCATAATTTTTAAATTGAAAATTACCCATTTAATTACTATCTATTAATTACCTTAGAGCCTATATTATATGACAAGTTTGTTTAAAAACATTTATTCAATTACATTTACTTAATTATTTAATAATTTACCTCGATTATTTATAAAACTTGTGACTGTCATATCTTAAAGTTAAGCTTTTTTTATAACCTATGAATTTCAGGTGTTTCGCTGAGTAAGAAAGCTTATGGTTAAATATGAGGATTTTTTTTAACAATAACCCAGGACTTAGCTGTTTTCATTAAACCAACAATATAAAATATTTTGTTTATCAAAAATTACATAAGCAAAGGCCATTCTGTTTGGGCTAGGTTTATAGTCTTATAACCTTTATGGCAGATTTTGACACCTTATCATAATCTGCATGGATAAGTATGAAACCACTTAATAAATGCAAACAAAAATGCTAACAATTCTTAAGACATTTCTAATATTATTTTACCAATAATTTAAAGCCAGTTTATTTATTAAAGATTTCACTGAAGTCAAGTGAACTTGAAAAAAGCATTTAACTTAGTCTTGTTTTTCTGTTAAAGTATTTGATTTAAACACTTTTATTTTTCTTTAAACTAATTAGAGCTCTTTTGTATATATTTTAGCAGTGAAACATTATGTACATGACACAAATACATGCCTATAGAAGTACATATTACATTCATAAGACCTTTTTTTTTCTATTTTTAACTTCCAAATTCTTGATAATCTGCCTCATTACCCTAGGCAGTTGTCAGCTAGATAGCCCTAAATTTTCATATTAAAGGAAACAACTCTTAGGTGAAAAATCAGACAGCAAAATTTACATCTCAAAGTACAGAGAGAAAGTCTGGTGTGCTAGAACGAAATTAAAATGGATTTAATTGCCAAGTTAAACAGAAAATTATAGAAATCTATCATAGGATTGTAAAAGAAGATCAATTTTATTTAGATGGGTAGTTCTAATTTTAGTCTCCATCGTTTAACTTGACTTCTGAGCTCTGGACAGAACTCACACTGTATTCTGGGTCTCCTTAAAGAGAATTATGATGAGGCTAGTCTATGCTTTCACAGTGCCCTCCCTTCCCTCTTTTTTTTATAAGACATTTCTCTAAGTGTCTAAGCTACACTCTCTCTTATTTTAAACATCCAGGAGTAGCCTCTGTTGTAGTAACTACTTTAGTTGGAAAAAAAAAAAAAAACAAAAAACAGATAACGTAACACAAAAGCAAGCAGTTTAAGATCTGAGAGGAAACTTGTCTGTTTATGCTCTTGGGGTTCCATAAGGCAAAAAAGGATTCTCCCCAAAAATGAGTCTGGTGCCTTCTCTGTTTTCTTTAAGGGATGTCAGGTTGTTAAAAACAATTAAAGAACAATTTTCTCAAGAAGAACAAGGTCATAGGAAAGAAAACAAAACAAAAAATCATAAAAGCCTTTTTAGTACACGTGCACATGCACGCGCACACACACACACACACACACACACACACAAAGATCCTATAGCTTTTATAGCTTTTATTTCAGAACTCTAGCCATGAGATATTAATACGAATTCATCAGCTTGCAAAAACAAACAAACATATTGGATCCAAACAATGGGTTTCACTGGGCATATACCGAAAGGAAAACAGGTTATTATATCAAAAAGATACATTCATTCATATGTTAATCACTATGCTATTCACAGTAGCAAAGACATGGAATCAACCTGGGTGCCCATCAATGGTACATTGGAGAAATAAAATGTGCATATATACCCTGGAAGACTAGGCAGCCATAAAAAATAATAAAATCATGTCCTTTGCTGCAACACGAATGGAGCTGGGTGATGTTCTCTCTTATAAGTGGGAACTAAACATTGATCACACATGGACATAAACATGGGAATAATAAACACTGTGGACTACTAGAGGGGGAGGGGGCAGGAATCTTGGGTTGAAAAAGTAGCTACTGGGTACTGTGCTCACTACCTGGGTACCATATACACATGTGACAAACCTGGGTACCCCCATGTACCCCCATGTCTAAAAAAAAGTTGTAGTTTGCTTTTTTTTTTTGAGACAGGGTCTCACTCTGTTGCCCAGGCTGGAGTGCAGTGTTGTGATGACGGCCCACTGCAGCCTTGACCTCCCAGGCTCAAGTGATCCTCCCACCTCAGCCTACCAAGTATCTGGGACTACCCACATTCAATTTGCTAAAACTCAGTAGAAAAATTAGATGACAGTAGAAAAAATGTAAAGTAGAAAGAAGCAATATTTAACTCTTAAGAAGATTAAAACTGAAAATCATTACATGAAATACCAGCCCATCATCTTGTTTGATACAGGATGGAATACAGGGATACAGATCATGGAATTCTCCCTGAGATCTGTGGCCTTCTTTAACTGCTACATCTGTGCATTATGCAATTTTACATATTTCATCTTGTATATTCATAATAGTGAGGCATGATATGGCCCCTTTCTGTTAAGAAATTACACAAATAGGAAATAAAAGTTTTAATTGAAATATGTTCCTTGTGAAGCCATTAATAAGAAAAAATAGGAAAAAGTTTATCTTATAAACTTTAGAAAGATAATTACCAGAGGCAGGGGAGAATGTGAGTGTGTGGAGGGAGATAAAGAGAGACTGACTGGTTAATGGCTGGAAACATACAGGTAGATAAAAGAAATAAGCTCTAATGTTCGAGAGTAGAGTAGGTTGACTATACTTAAAAACAATGTATTGTACATTTCAAAATAGTTAGAAGTGAGGACTTCTAGTCTTAGGTGCCTGCCTAAATAGAAAACACTACATTTTCCTATTTCTGCATTCAGTCAGCTGTAATATGCTTCTTCAGTTGGAATAATTTTTTTCAATTATTTAAACATTTTTATTGTTGTAGGTATACAGTAGGTATATATGTTTATGGGGTACATGAGATGTTTTGATACATGTATGCAATGTGAAATAAGCACATCATGGAAAAATGGAGTATCCTTCTCTTCAAGCACTTACCCTTTGAGTTACAAACAATCCAATTACACTCTTTAACTTATTATTGATTATAGTCATGCTGTTGTGCTATCATAGTAGGTTTTATTCATTCTTTCTATTTTTTTGTACACATTAACCATTCCCCATCCCCAGCATCACACTACACTTCCCAGACTATGGTAACCATCCTTCTACTCTCTATGTCTATGAGTTCAATTGTTTTGATTCTTAGATCCCACAAATAAGTGAAACCATGCAATGTTTGTCTTTTGGTGCCTGGCTTATTTTACTTAATATAACCATCTCCAGTTCCATTCAATTTGTTGCAAATGACTTCTGTGGAGATAGTTAATACAAATATAAATACATAAAATAATGTCAGGTAATAATGTGAGCTATAAAACAATAGAACAAATGACCAAGGATTAGAATGGTGACGTCATTTAAATGAGTGATGAATAGGGTATCTCTGAAAATATAATATATGAGCAGAGAGCCAGATGACTAAGGAGTGGCTGGCCATGCAAAAATTTAGACATGTAATTACAGTAACTTAGACTAAAAGTAGAAATGGAGTATGTATACAGATTTAAAATAAGTTGTCACTTTTATCAGAATTCCTATAGCACTTAATTTCATAACTATTACAACATAACGGTTGACATATTTTATACAGATCTGTGTAAAAGTGGCTAAAGAACAAAGATTGTATCTTGTTTCTCTTTGTATTCCCAGTGCCAAGAATGGTGCCTGGCACAGAGTAGGTGCTTAATATGTGTTCCCCGATTCTTTAATTTCCCAAACCTTCCTGGCTGTCTGGAAAGATTTGTAACATCTGCATGATCTTACATTATCCCCTCAGTGTTCTAGGCAAGCTTACAAGATACCTTTATAATAAATGAGCTTACACAGCCATTCTATTAATCACACACAATTGTCAGTTCAAAATTAACTGCATGTGGAATAATTAGATCATCAAATAATTATGTGTAATTTGCTACTTGAACTCACTAAATAACTTTCAAGTGGTCAATTTCTCTGTAAACTAGCCCAGAAAGCCAACAGTTGGCTAATTTCATGTGTAGTGAACTGTGTCTATTATTTTGCCACCTGCAGCTAATTATCCATAGATAATTATGCCTTAAAAATGAAAAACTGCCCTTTCGAAATTGAGCTTAAGTTGATGTCCAGTCTACTATATCTAACAGTCTTCTTATATTAAGCAAGAAAAAATAATTAGGCCAGAAACAATTATAGAGAAATGGAGATTGTCTCCTCAAGTACTAGGGTATTTCTAATGGCAGTGGTGTTCAACCAAGTTTATTCATATATCTGAGTATCTTCGTTGACCTAAAGCCTCTGTCTCTGAAAAGCAGCAGGCACAGATAATCTCAGTATTTCTATGATCATCTACAATTTATATGATTTAAAGATGTATCCAGATGATTATGTAGAGTACAGGACTTCATGTTCATAATACATAACTAGCCTATTTACCCGGCTAGCTGTCATTAAATCACTGTTCAAACTAACTAGCTGAGATTAAACATTTTCATGTCAAAGTAAATCTGTTCCTTAGCAAATGTTTGAGGAGAAGACAAAATAAAGAGGAATGTAGGACTCAAACCTTTGACTGTAATATTTGATAAAATATTCCTGATTTGTAAAATGTTGGTCGAACAGCAAGTTAACTACTAAAGATTCCTAAATAAATTTTTTTAATTACACACTCCATCAATGAAGTGCATAATTTCATAACTTTCACATGACATCTCACTGTCAACTTGAAGTTCAATGACAAAAGACGGTCACTTGAAAGCCACTTAAATGGCCTCAGTGTCTATTTTTTCCTTCTTTGAGTCCACAGATCCTCAGTGTTTAGCTCTCACTAGAAGTGAGAACATGCAGTATTTGGTTTTCAAGGGTGGAGGGTGGAAGGAGGAAAAACTGCTTATTGGGTATCATGCCGATTAGCAGGGTGACAAAATTATCTGTACACTATACCTCTGCAAGATAAAATTTACCTATGTACCAAACCTGCACATGTACCCCTTGAACCTACAATAAAAGTTGGAAAGAAAAAAAATATGTGAGTCACAAAAGAATAAATTTTAAAATGTTCAATAAGTACATAAAAACCATACCACTTCAATAGTAATTAAAGAAATGACAATACTAACAAAATGTAACAAAATAATGGGTTTTGACAAGTTTATCTTTCAAAGGGGATGCCTCATTTCTCTGCTTACATAATGGGAGTGAAGAAAAAGTTGCCACAATCCTAAAGTTGTTTGTATTGACATCTTAGAAGCTCTCTATAAATAAATAGGATCAGTGTAAAGTTATTGCTATTCATCTCTAAGCCAATAAAAAACTTAATCAATTCATCCATACAGTATGATTGAGTGGAAAGAAAATCAATAGGCAGTGTGAGAAACATGGTTTAGTTCTGTCACTACTGCCACTCTAACTTTGTTACTTTGGGCAAAGTATTTTACCTCTATGTACCACATCTGTAAATGAGAACACTACTGATAATTTACCAGAGCATTTGTGATAATTAAATAAGATAATTTCATATTTAGAAGTGCTTTTTGAGATTTGGTATCCTAGAGAAAATGTAAGATATTATAGAATGTTACAATGGAAAAAACCTTAAACATAAAATAAAAAGATATGTGTTTGGGTCCAAACACTACCATTTACTGTCCAGACATGTTCTCTTGAAAAAGTGACTAATGTATAGACGAATGAATGAATTACATCCACCAAAATTAAGTGAATCACATTGTACCAGGCATTTTAATAGGCACTCTTGATATAGAAGTGAATTAGAAATAGTCTCGTTCCCACAAGGAGCTGATACTTAAGGGCGGAAAATTTACAAATAAAGTCACCACCCTAATTCATTCAAATAAATCCTATGTTATAATTCAACAGTGGGTATTACAAGGGTATAGTAGATGCATACCTCACCTATTCTGGATATGAATGGGCCAAAAGGCTTCCTAGAAAAAGTGAACCCTAATCTGGATATAAAAGAGCAAATGTATGTAACCAAGAAAAGTAGATGAGAAGAAAGATATTTCAAGCAGAATTAAGTGACCATTAATAAAAATAGGAGGAATAAATATTTGGTTAGCAGCCTGCATTTCAGCATATTGTTTTGGGGTGCTAATCAGGTACGTAACTTGTCCAAGATCATAAGATACTAAATGGCAAAGTCAGGATTCAAATTCATGATCTTAATCTTGACACTAAGTATGCTATTTTGTGATGCAGTTTTTTACTTAACTTTAATCTTAGCTTTTTTCAATGGCAGTACATGTAGCTCTACATTATTTTGAAAGCATGTCATAATATTTAATATTAGACACTTACCATAAATTCTTTAGTCTTTTCATATAGTCAGTCACTTAAGTCACTTCCAATTTTTATGATAACAAAGAATTCCACAGGGAAAAAAATTTATTCACTAAATATTAGCTGAGTACCTACTATTTGCTAGGTACTGTGCAAAGTGTTGACAATACCGTGGTGAATAAGACAGACATGATTCTTTATGTAGCTTGCAGTCTATTAGAAGGAGATAGACCAAAAAACCCTACTAAATAATTGAATGAACGTTTGACAGTATGAACAGCATTATAAAGGAAATCATAAATCTTGTAGAAGTCATTTTAAGTGTATTTCAGTAAATTTTAGTAAATTTGCTGAGTTGTTCAACTATCATCTCAATTTTTAGAAAATTCTCACCATCCCAATAAGATCCCTTATGCCTATTTGCAGACAACTTTCATTTCCATACCCAAGTCAGGCAACTATTAATCTACTTTTTGTCTTTACGAACATTTCATATAAATTATAGGCATTTCAGATAAATTAAATTATACAATATGCAGCCTTTTGAACCTGACTTCCTTGATTGGACATAAGGTTTTTGATGTTTATTTATGTTGTAGTGCATGGCCATATTTACTTTCTTTTTATTTTGATAATATTTCATCGTGTGGCTATATCGCATGTTGTTTATGTATTTATTTGTTGATGGACAATTGGGTTGTCCCGTCTTCTGGTTACCATGAGCAATACTGCTATGAACATTTGCATACAGGTTTTTTTGTGTGGACCTATGTTCTAAGTTATTTTGAGTATATGCCTAGGAATGGAATTCCTGAGTTGTATAACTTTATGGTTAACTTTTTTTGTGGAATTGTTTTCCAAAGTGGCTGCACCATTTTAGGTGACCACCAGCAAACACAAATGTGCTAATACTTATTATTATGTCTGTTTTAATATAGCCATCCTAGTAGTTGTGAAGTGGTAGGTATCTCATTGTGGCTTTCATTTGTATTTCCTTGATAGCTAATGAATTTCAGCATCTTTTTCATGTGCTTGGCCATTTGTACGTTTTCTTTGAAGAAATGTTTATTCACATACTTTGCCCATTTATTTATATACAATATGATTGTGTTGTATTATTTATCTAATCTAAAACAATAAGGTGTATGATTTCTGAATATTTTCTTCCATCCTGTAAGTTTCACTTTATTGATGGTGTCTTTTATAGTACAAAAGTATTTAATTTTGATAAAGTCCAATTAATTGTTTTGTCACTTGTACTTTTGGGTCCTAGGCTTTTCTTTACTGAGTGGCTTTTTGTTATGACTTCAATCTTCTTACTTGTAAATGGTCTGTTCAGATTTGGAATTTCTTCATGATTTAATCATGGTAGGCTGTATGTGTCTAGAACTTTACCCATTTCTTATAGATTTTCCAATTCACTGACAGATAGGTGCTCATAGTAGCCACTAATGATCCTTTGAATTTCTGCAGTATCAGCTGTAATGTGACCTTTTTATCTCTTTTGTATTTTGGTCTTTTCTTAGTCTGCCTACAATTTTATTAATTTTGTTTATCTTTTTTAAAAAACAACTTTTTGTTTCATCGATCTTTTGTTTTGTTTTTCTGTTCTACTGCCATCTTTAATATTTCTTTTCTTCTACTAATTTTGGGTTTGGTTTGCTCTTCCTTTTCCTGTTCTTCAGTATGCCTAATTCGATTATTTAAAGTTTTTTTTTCATCCATTGATGTAGGCCCTTATAGCTACATATTTCCCTTTTAGTACTGTTTTCACTGTATCCCATAGGTTCTGGTATGTTGTGCTTACATTATACGTTTTTAAGAATTTTTTTCAATTTTCTTTTTTTCATTCACTGCCTGGTCCTTCAGGAGTATATTTAATTTCCATATGTTTAAATAGTTTCCCAAATCCCTCTTTTTATTGATTTCTAGTTTTATTCCCTTTTGTCGAGAAGATAGTTAATATTATTTCAACTTTTTGAAAGTTTGAAGTCTTGTTTTGTGACTTAACCTGTGGTTTATCCTTGAGAATAATCTATGTGCTAAGGAAAATAATGTGTATTCTGCAGTTCTTGAATGAAGTGTTCTGTAAATATCTATTAGGTCCATTTGGTTTATAGAGCACATTAGGTTTGATGTTTCTTTGTTGATTTTCTGCCCGGAAGATCTGTTCAATGATGAAAGTGGGGTTTGGAGTCTCCAGCTATTATCATATCGGGGCCTATCTCTTTAGCTCTACTTTTATTTATATATCAGAGTGCTCCAGTGTTGAGTGCATATATATTTAAAATTGTTACATCCTCTTGCTGAGTTGACCCCTTTTTCATTACATAATGACCTTCTTTGTCTCTTACAGTTTTTGTCTTGAAGTCTATTTTGTCTGATATAAGTATAGCTACTCCTGCTCTTTTTGGGTTTCTTTTGCCACGGAATATCTTTTTTCCATTCCTTTATTTTTAGACCATGTTTGTCCTCATAGGTGAAATGTGTATCCTGTAGTAAACAGAACACTGCATCTTCTTTTGTTTTTTAACCATTCAGTCACTATATGTCTTTTGATTGATGAGTTTAGTTCATTTTCAATCAATGTTGTTACTGACAAGTAAATACTTACCTCTGTCATTTTTTTATTTGTTTTTTGTTTGTTTTGTGTTCTCCTCTTCCTTCTTTCCTTCCTTCTTGTTTTCCTTTTAGTAAAGGTGATTTTCCGTTGTGGTATGATTTAATTTCTTGCTTTTTATTTTTTGTGTATCCATGGTTCAAATATTTGATTATGTGTTCCTATGTGAAATATAATTAGTGATTTAGTTTAACATATACACAAGAAACATTTGTTCAGTTGTATCTTTGTAGGTTTTTGTGGGAGAAAAAAATAGTTCTGTGATAAAATAACCATGTGGGATGCTGGGCCAAAACTAAACAGTTCTCTTTACTGAAGAACTACTAAGAGTTTTTAGTGTGATTGGAAATTCCCCATAGGAAGAAAGGGAAGCAGTGTTTTGCAAAGGTGTTTGCCCACAGAACCCTTTCTTGTGAACTACGAAATACATTTTGCAAAGGTTTGGCTTAATCTGTGGAAGATTAGCCTTTATCAGACTCTTCATTACTATTCCATCAACACTCTCAATTGGTTTTCTGTGTGCCTCTTTCATACCTAATTATGAGGTAAGTTATGAGGTATGCAAAGCAAGAAATACAAATAACTACTAGGTCTTGAGGGCAATTTAACTTCAGTTGTGATTTTTCTTCAGTTGACTTCTAAGGAAAGTCATTATTTTTCTCAATTTATGTGGATATATGTGCATATACCAGTAGTTTGTTAAAAATGAAAATTTTTCAGGGCCATGAAAGGCCATGGAATCTGCATTTTACTAAATTGCACAAGTAATTCTTAGGGAAAAAGTTGAGAATTATTACCTTGTGGTTTGCCAAGGGGGGAAATTATGAAATTACTGTGGTTTGTTTTGCATGTCAGAAAGCTTTAGAGAACTTAATTTTGGTCATAATTTCTATTGTCTATGGCACTGCCAATATTGCATCATCAGAGAAATTATCTAGTTGTTGCTACATTTTATCTTTAAAAGGATTGGCCGGGCACGGTGGCTCACGCCTGTAATCCCAGCACTTTGGGAGGCCGAGGTGGGCGGATCATGAGATCAGGAAATCAGGAGATCGAGACCATTCTGGCTAACACAGTGAAACCCCGTCTCTACTAAAGATACAAAAAATTAGCAGGGCGTGGTGGCGGGCGTCTGTAGTCCCAGCTACTCGGGAGGCTGAGGCAGGAGAATGGCATGAACCCAGGAGGCGGAGCTTGCAGTGAGCAGAGGTAGCGCCAATGCACTGCAGCCTGGGCGACAGAGCGAGACTCCATCTCAAAAAAAAAAAAAAAAAAAAAAGATACAGTGTAGTTAACTAACCACCCAAGTCTTATTTCTAGCTTTATCCATTTTCTTAATGCCCGCTGTACACAGTTTGCATATGTTGGTGTAACTTGTCTACAGGGAAAAACTGTGGCATTGAACTAGAATATCCAAAAGTGCCAGCCTCACTGCTAGGCCATATTTTGGTGAAGATTCTTTTTAGATGAGTTTTTTTTTGGATGCAACAACACATACAAATATCTGGACCATGAGAATTATAACTAAGAATGTTTTTCAGAATGTTCGTATTCTTTGAGATAGAGTTGCTTATTAGAGATAATGTATGAGTTGGTGGTAGACAAGCGGCACATCTGAAATAATGGAAAAAGGCCAAATTTAAGTGGGTATAGAAAACAGGTAAGAAAGTGGCAATATAGCACAGAGGATCTTTCGATTATTTCAATCATGATTGAGAAAGTTCTATTGTATTCAAATCAATATTGATCTTTCTGTTTAAACTAAAATCAACAATCAAGTATCTTATGTGAACTGTTATAGTGTCATGTAGGAATATTAATATTTTGACATCCATTTGTGCCCAGAATAACTTTTCCAGGTTGTTGAGTTTCCTCTTCAACTCTTTAATGAGTAAAAAATTAGTGATACTTTAAATCAAAGATTGAGGCAGCATATGTTGTTAAGAATATGGTCCTTTTTCAAAATTAGCACATTGAAGAGTAGTTTACATTTAGTTACACAAACCATACTGAGACTAGCACCAGAAATTCTGAATCCCAGCAGAAAGTTTATACAAATTTATCTTGAAAAGCAGCATTTAAATTTTAGCATAAAACTGTATTTTGAAAGAGAGAGACACAAAAATCGTCATTCACAGTTGTACACAAATGGAAAGATGCCATTCTTTGAGGCACAAATTCCCACAGTGGGGATCACATTTCAGTTACCCTAAGGTAAAGCACTTAGCCTACTGTGATCTTATGATAAAAATTCCACAATCCTGAATAAAGGCAATTCAAATGATTCCAGTTTTTAAGCTATGAGCTGTTCTTGCTTGTCACACTGTATGACGTAACAACATTTTATAAAGCTTAATGGGATGCAAACCCATTATATCACCCATTTGCAAAAGAGATAACTCCATTTATGTCACATATATTTTGTAACAAGATTTAATTAAAATAGAACAAACACAATTATGTTCTTCCAACTAGCCAGTGGAATGTTTCTGTCATGTACAAAACATGAAGAAAGTTACTAAAAGGACAAAGAAGAGATAAGAAGTAGGCTCCTCTTTCTGATCCTCTGACAGCATATACAGCTCTTTCAACAAATATTTACTAAGTACCTACTATGTGTCAATCCAGAGAGAGAGAGAGAGAGAGAGAGAGAGAGTGTGTGTGTGAGTTGTTGAAAGTACTAATACAAATCAGGCAAACTGCCTGCCTTCAATGAGAGCATTATCTGGCTTGTGAGACAGAAAAGGAGAGATAGAAAAAAATAATAGCACTAGGATAAAGAAATATATAAAAGGATAGAGAAACAGAGGATAATAATCAGCTCAGCTAAGGGAACTCAAGGAAGGATTTACAGAATGAAGAATACTTGAATTGTGCTTCCAAAATGAATAAGATTTAATTGAAAAAGACCAACAAAATCAAATTGTGAAAAAGCACAATAATATAAAAAAACAAATAAAAATGAAAGCAACATACACTCCCATTTTTCTGTGGCCTGTGCCTCCTTCCTGAATTCTAGATTATATATATATATATAGCTGTTTACTTGTCATCACCATTGGAATGTCTAATAAGTATTTCCTGATCTTTTCCCTTACCATACTCACTCCTCTGCAGTCTTCCCCATTTCATTATATGGCACTGTCATTCACCCAATTGCTCAGATGAAAACACCTTGGAATCATCCTTGACTCTTAACTCTCATCTCACATCTAATCCAACAGCAAATTATCTAAGTGCTATTTTCACAATATATCCAGCATCTGGGCACTTCTCACTATCCTTACTGCTGACTTTACCCAATCTGAATTATTCTCTTCATTCTTATTGATACTATCTTGATCCAAACCATAATTCTCCCTCCTCTAGATTACTCCCTAGAGAACTACATTCTAACTGATCTCTCTGATTTTACCTTTGTCTTTTTTTTTTTTACGGTCTGAAGCCTATTGCCTACAATCCTGTTAAAATGTTAAGTCCTTTCAGTTTTCTGTTCAATCCCCTCCTAATGCCTTTTTATACACTATAGAGTAAAAGCCAAACATATGATCGCTTACAAATCCCTGCACAATATCGTCCCCCATTCGTATCACATTTCTAATTCTCTTCCCCAAGTTAACTCTGATTCTGGTACTGTGGATTCCTCATTCTCCTAGGAACTCCTGCCTTGGGAATTTTGCACTCTTTGCTATCTCAACCTGCAAGGCATTTTCCCAAGTATCTGCATGGATCACTCCCTCAGGTCTATTGTGTCATTGCTCAAAAGTCATCATTTCAAAGACAGTTCTTCTATATAAAGTAGGGCCCACTCACCTTCACTTTATACCTTCCTTACCTTGCATCACTTTCATAGAACTTACCACTTATCTACATCTTATTACATATTATTTTTATTGGCTGTCTCCTACTCCAGACCATAAGCTAAATTAAGGTAGATAATTTTTCTCTTAAGTATTTCTGAGAGAAGAGAGAAATCCTGGTTGAATATTTTCTAAATGAATGAAAAAAATGTATATAGAGAGTAACAAAATAAAATACCTCCCTCATACCATACACACGTGTAAATCACAGTTTTATGTAAAGCTTTATAATTAAAAAATAAAAGAATATGTTTATTACAATGAAATAGTAAATAATTTCTTAAATTAGATGAAAGAGACACGAAACTTGAATGACAATATTGATAAAATTAAATGCATTTAAATAAATAATTTCCAGGATAAAAAAATATTTTAAAATAAAATAGTAGTTATGGGGGAAGAAGATATTTATAATAGATATAATGCACAAAAGTAATATCCATGATATAAAATTATTATAGCTCATTTTTTATAAAGATAAACAATGTGGTAGAAAAATGGGCCATAAATATGCAGATAAGATCCATAAGAAGAAAATATATGGCCAATGTAATCTCTGTAAGGACAGGGATATTATCCATTTTCTTGATTTTTTTTATTCCCAATACTTAATTCATTTTCTAACACTTAGCATTCGGACACAAATTCTTTGTCAAAATTTATTTAATGTAAAAAATAAAGTACATAAAAAACGTAAAAGATGCTCAACATTACTAGTAGTCAGGAAAACACAAATTAAGCAACTCAGATACAATTTCACATCCATTGTGTTTGCAGAAATTGTGTGATGACATCACATGCCAGCCAGTAGATGGATAAACAGTAATCATAAATAATAAATAATAAACATTTATTATAGGCAGAAGTGTAAACCAATCAAACCAGTCTGAATAGCAAATGGGTAGTACCTTAAAATGTTGATAATATAAATGTAAAACCTTTCTCCCCAATAAAACTACTTCTAGGTTTTAGCTGCATCAGGGAAATCCTTACATATGTTTACAAGGAGACATGTGCAAAGGCATTTATTGAAGCATTGTTATTAATAACCAAAAAGCAGAAATACCAAATGGTCTCCAAGAGGGATCATTGATAAAGAGAACAGTTTATTCATCTATCAGTTAAAAAGAGTGAAATAGACTTAAATATATCTAAATTCTTCAATTTCAAAGCGTAATGAGGGATAGAAGCATCTTCTCAAAGTGTAATTAGAGGTCCTCTCCTTTCCTGATAATTCATGAATCTAAAAAGAAAAGAAAGTGTCACTTCTCCCAAAGAAAATCACTATAACAAGCAAAGCAAAACAAAACAAAACAAAATTCTTACAACAACAAAGCTATGAAATTATAACATTTATTGAATACATCAATGATGAAGCAATGACAAAAGAAATCAGAGATAGGACATGAACACTGGCTCACCCACTGGCAGAATAAAGAAACATCAAGTGTATACAAGTAGGAAAGAAGAAGTCAGTTAAAGATTGTAACACATTGCTAAAAGAAGAGTGTAGGCTAGTGTGCAGGTACAGAACTCCTGTGAGCCTCGGACACAAAAGGGCTGCTACCACAGACAGGATCTTCTCCACCAACTTCCACCTGGTTGTTAAAGATTGGGAAAAAAAAGCAGGAGATTGAAGAAAGCTTTTCTTGGTGGTACAAGCCTGAAAGAATATAGATGCCATTGTTGTGTAAAAAGTATGAAGCTCCTCTCTAATCCTTATGCCCTACAGAAAAACATATCATCTGTAAATATCCTTGGTAGGGGCAGTAAGTCTAATTCTTCCAAGGGCAGGAGTGAAGAATCACTGTAGCTGGGAAAGGTTAAAAAAAAGATTTAAAAAAATCTCTCTGTCCCTAGAAGACTACCAGAAATCAGTCATGAGCCTAGACAAGTATGTTCTGCTGCAGTGATGGGGCAAGAAGCCCTTGGCTCTACAAGAGTCACCAAAGATAAAAGGTATAGTTTGAGGTGGAAAGACAGTGGAAGAGAAAGACCACAGAGAATGACAAATGCCTGTGAAAGAATGGGGCTTTGCCATCTAAAAGAGATTCTCCCGGACTTCACTACCTAACTTACAAGCACAAAATTACAAGAAACAACAGTTTACTGCTGGGTAAGGGGTAAGACAATGGAAAGAGACCTCCTCCATGGTGCAGATGTAGAGGGAACACTGAAACCTGAGGATGAAGTAAGAACATTAAGACAGCTCTCTTTTTTAAGCACAAAATAATTCTACTGTACCAAAAGAAAAAAGAGACAAGAATTACAGCAAAGTTTTCTCAGAAATTATGTAAGCTAGAAGACAATGCAGCAATACCTTTAATGTACTGAACAAAAATAAACGGCCAATCCAAAAGTCTATATTCAGTGACAATAATTTTCAAACATGTGGTCGCATGATTTCTGACAAACTAAAGCTAAAGGTATCATTGCCAGCAGAGCTGAACCAGAATACCCCTTTTAAAAAGTGTTTCAGGCTGAAAAAATATAATACTATTCAGAAACATGAATCCACACAAAAAATTGAAGATATCCAAAAATGGCTAAAATAAAAGTAGATATAGAAGATTTTGGTTTTTTAACTTCTAATTTATAATGACTCTAAAAGAAAATTGACTTTCTAAAGCACAAAGTAGTATCAATTATGTTGTAGGTTTATAACATATATCTGAGCAAAATGTGTGACAACAATAGTAAAAGAGAAGAGATAGAAATTGAAATGATAATGAAGTTTTTACACATTACATGAAGTGATGCTGTATTATTTGAAGGTAGATGGTGATCAATTAGAGATGCACATTGCAAAGCTTAAGGCAACCACTAAATTTTTAAAGATACACAGTTATTAAATAAGTGTTTATAGTTATTTTAATTAATACAATGCAATTAACAATGTTGTATAAGTGTATGACTTAAAAATTAATAATCCATGAGAACTTCCCAACCTTGTTAGACAGGTCAACATTCAAATTCAGGAAATGCAGAGAACCCCATAAGATACTTTGTGAGAAGATCATCCACAAGACACATAATCAACAGATTCTCCAAGGTTGAAACGAAAGAAAAAATGTTAAGGGTGGCCATAAGGAAAGGCCAGGTAACCTACAAAGGGCATCAGACTAACAACAGACCTCTCAGCAGAAATCCTGCAAGCCAGAAGAGATTGGGGACTAATATTTAACATTCTTTAAAAAAAAAAAAAAGCAATTCCAACCCAGAGTTTCATATCTGGCCAAACTAAGCTTCATAAGGGGAGGAGAAATAAGATCTTTTTCAGACAAGCAAATGCTGAGAAAAGTTGTTACCTCTAGACTTGCCTTACAAGAGCTCCTGAAGTAAGCACTAAATATTGAAAGAAAAAAAAACACTACCAGCCACCACAAAAAGACATTTTATTACACAGAATAGTGACACTGTGAAGCAATCCCATAAACAAGTCAACAAAATAACCAGCTAGCATCATGACGACAGGATCAAATCCACACATATCAATACTAACTTTAAATGTAACTGGGCTGAATGCGCCAATTAAAAGACACACAGAGTGACAAGCTGGATAAAGAACCAAGACACACTGGTACACTCTCTGCACGAGACCCATCTCACATGCAATGACATACATAGGCTCAACATAAAGGGATGGAGGAAAATGTACCAAGCAAAGGGAAAACAGAAAAAAGCAGGGATTGCAATCCTAGTTTGTCACAAAACAGACTTTAAACCAACAAGGAAAAAGAAGACAAAGGAGGACAGTACATAATGGTAAAGGGATCAATTCAACAAGAAGAGCTAACTATCCTAAATATATATGCACCGCACACAGGAGCACCCGGATTCATAAAGAAAGTTTCTAGAGACTTTCAAAGTCACTGAGACCCCCAAACAATAATAGTGGGAGACTTTAACACTCCACTGACAATATTAGACAGATCACTGAGACATAAAATTAACAAAGATATTCAGGACCTGAACTCAGCTCTAAATTAAATGGTCCTGATAGATATCTACAGAACTCTCCACCCCAAAACATCAGAATATACATTCTTTTCATCACCACATGGCACTTTTACTCTAAAATTGGTCACATAATCAGAAGTAAAACACTACTCAGAAAATGCAAAAGAACTGAAATCCTAACAGTCTCTTGGACCCCAGCACAATCAAATTAGAACTTAAGACTAAGAAATTCACTCAAAAACATACGATTACATGGAAATTGAATAATGACTGAATGACTTGTGGGTTTATAATAAAACTAAGGCAGAAATCAAGAGGTTATTTAAAACTAATGAGAACAAAGATACAACATACCAGAATCTCTGAGACATACCTAAGGCAGTGTTAAGTGGGAAATTTATAGCACTAAATGCCCACATCAAAAAGCCTGAAAGATGTCAAGTTAACAATCTAACATCACAACTAAAAGAACTAGAGAACCAAGGCAAACAAATCCCAAAGCTGGCAGAAGACCAAAAAATTACAAAAATCAGAGCTGACCTGGAGATAGAGATCCAAAAAAACATTCAAAAGATCAATGAATCCAGGAGTTGGTTTTTCAAAAAGCTAATAAAATAGAGAGACCACAAGCTAGACTAATAAAAAAGAAAAGAGAGAAGGTTTAAATAAGCACAATCAGAAATAATAAGGGGGATATTACCGCTGACCTCACAGTAATACAAACAATTATCAGAGAATATTATAAACACCTCTACGCACATAAACTAACAAAATCTAAAAGACATGTATAAATTTCTGGACACATACATCCTCCCAAGACTGAACCAGGGAGCAATGGAAACTCTGCACAGACTAACCAGCTCTGAAATTGAGGTCATAATAAATAGCCTAAAAAAAAAAAAAAAAAAAAAAAAGAAAAAAACCAGGGCCAGAAGGATTCACAGCTGAATTCTACAAGAGGTGCAAAGAAGAACAGGTACCATTTCTACTGAAACTATTTCAAAACACTGAAAAGAAGGGACTCCTCCCTAACTCATTCTGAGGCCAGCATCATCCTGATATCAAAACCTGACAGAGATACAACAAAAGAAGAAAACTTCAGGCCAATATCCTTGATGGACATTGGTGCAAAAATTCTCAACAAAATACTGGAAAACTGAATCTGGCAGCACATCAAAAAGCTAATCCACCACAATCAAACAGCCTTCATTCATGGGATGCAAAGTTGGCTCTACACACACAAATCAATAAATGTGATTCATCACATAAACAGAATTAAAGATGAAAACTACCTGATTATCTCAATAAACGTAGAAAAGGCTTTTGATAAAATTTAACATCTCTTCATATTAAACACTCTCAACAAGCTAGATATTAAAGGAACATACCTCAAAATAATAAGAGCCATTTATGACGAACCCACAGCCAACATCACACTGAATGAAAAAAAGCTGGAAGCATTCCCCTTGAAAACCAGCGCAAGACAAGGATGCCCACTCTCACCACTTCCATTCAAATGGTATTAGAAGTCCTAGCCAGAGGAATCAGGCAAGATAGAGAAATAAAGGCATCCAAACAGGAAGAGAGGAAGTCAAACTACCTCTGTTTGCAGATGACATGGTTCTATGTCTACAAAACACCATAGTATCGGCCCCAAAGCTTCTTACAGCTGATAAACAACTTCAGCAAGGTTTCAGGGTACAAAATTAATGTACAAAAACTGCTAGCATTCCTATACATCACCAACAACAAAACAGAGAGCCAAATCAGAAAGGTAATCCCATTCACAATTGCCACAAAGAGAATAAAATACCTAGGAATACAGCTAACAAAGGAGGTGAAAGAGCTCTACAATGAGAATACAAAACACTGCTCAAATATATCAGAGAAGACACAAAGAAATGGAAAAAAAATCTCATGCTCATGAATAGAAAGAATCCATAACATTAAAATGGTTACACTGCTCAAAGCCATTTACAGATTCAATAGTATTCCTATCACACTACCAATGACATTCTTCACAGAACTAGAAAAAAAAATAATTTTATTTGGAACCTAAAAAGAGCCGGAATAGCCAACGCTATCCTTAGCAAAAAGAAGAAAGCTGGAAGAGTCACATTACCCTACTTCAAACTATACTATAAGGCTAAAGTGACCAAAACAGCATGGTGCTGGTACAAAAATAGGCACATAGGCCAATGGAACAGAATAGAGGGCCCAGAAATAAGGCTTCTTATCTATGACCATCTGATCTTTGACAAAGCTGACAAAAACAAGCAGTAGGGGAAAGACATCCTATTCAATAAATGATGCTGGAATAACTAGCTAGCCATATGCAGAAAATTAAAACTGGACTCTTTTCTTATACCACATACAAAGATAAACTCAAGACCAATTAAAGACTTAGATGTAAAACCCAAAACTATAAAAACCCTGGAAGACAACCTAGGCAATACCATCCTGGACATAGGAATGGGCAAAGATTTCATGACAAAGAAACCAAAAGCAATGGCAACAAAAGCAAAAATTGACAAATGGGATCTAATTAAACTAAAGCAATTCTGCACAGCAAAAGAAACTATTCTCACTTATAAATTGGAGCTGAATGACAAGAACTTATGAAAACAAAGAAGAAAACAAGAAGCACTGGGATCTACTTCAGGGGAGAGGGTTGGGACATGGGGAGGAGCAGAAAAGATAGCTATTGGCTACTGAGCTTAATGCCTGGTTTATGTAATAGTATGTACAACAACCCCCTCTGACACACGTTTATCTATGTAACAAACCCTCACATGTACACCCAAACTTAAAACAAACATTAAAAAAAGAAATAGGTTTACACACAGAAAACGTCCTTTAGCTCTAGCAACACTCCTTGTCTAGGAGTCTACTTTGTCTAATATTACAGTCACTCCAAATTTGTATGCATAAGTTGCATGATATAACTTTTTCTGTTGTTGACATTCAAACTGTGTTTTTGTTTAAAATGCTTCTTGTCAAGTAAAATGTTTTATTTTGCAGGTTAAGAGATGTGATAATTACATGTAATACTGATCAAGAAAAAAATACACAATTCCGGTATCACGAACAAAATGGGAGACATTACTGCAGAACTTAAGAATATCAAAATGATAGGAGAAGGATTATTTGGACAACTATACTGCATTACATTTAACAAATTATATAAAATATTCAAATTTATACAGCTAACTAAAACTGATACAATAACACACAAATTCTAAATGACCCAGGTCCATTATGTACAATTTAAAGCCATAGTTTAAAATTTTCCTATAAAGAGAATTCCACACTGAGATACCTTTAAGAGTGATTCCACAAAACTTTGAAGAAGGAAAATATATTGCCAAATTTATTCATACTCTACTATTTAAAGAAATGAAAGGGAACATATCCCAGCTAGCATGTGAGACTAACATAATTTTGAAAACAAGATCAGACAAATAAATTTTAGCAAATAAATAGGGCTTATGAAAATACATACAGAAATCTTAAACAAGACATTAACAAATGAATTAAGTTCACCACTAATTAGGGCTTATAGCAGAAATATAAGGTACATTCAACATCTTAAACAACTGATGGTATCCTATTAATTATAAATATATATATATAATATATATAATAATCAACATTAATGCAGAGAAAATCATTTTACTAAATTCCCTATCTTTTCATGATAAAAATTTTTAGTAAGCAAGAAATACAAAGAAACATTTCATGCTAATGATGAATAGCTACAAAACAACCATAGCTGATGTTATGCTCCTGGTGAAATATTGAATCATATCTCCCTGAGCTCAAGGATAAAACAAGGGTGTCCATTATCACCACGTGCAATTCCAAATTTTACTGCAGATTCTAGCTGGCACAATAAGGCAAGGGAAATAAATAAAATGAATAAATGTTTTAAAGAAAGATGTAAATAAAATGAATAAATGCTTTAAAGGAAGATGTGAATATCTCTACTCAGACAGCATGATTGTCTACATAAACAATTGAAAAACAATTAAAATAAAAATTTAGAAAGTTCACTGTGTACAAGGTCAAAGTATAAAAAACAAATACATTCACTCTGAGACCCTATCCCTCACACACACACACACACACATGCACACACACCCTTGCACACCTTATGTATACAAAAATATGTATGAAGAGAGATCAAGTCCAATGCCAATAACATGGAGGAATTAGGGACATTGGTATGAAAAGGTTTTGAATCTTAGAGACCCTTCTGGGGTACACATCCAGCCTCAAGCTCCAGCCCTCCATTCATCAACCAACTCTGTGCCCCTAAAAAGAGACAGGGAAAAGAAAGAATGGAATATACATTTTTTTCAGGTTCTCATAGAGCATTCACTAAGTGACATGATATTCTGGGCCATAAAAATCCTTAAGAAATTTAAAATAATATAAATTTCAAATAATCTTTCTTGTTGCATAGTAGAATTAAACTAGCAATAAATAATCAAATATCTCAAAAATCTCCAAATACCTGTAAGTCAAATACATTTCTAAATATTTGTTCTGAGTAAAAATAAACATACAGCCTATACAAATCCATGAGATAGAGCTAAAGCAGTGTGCAGAAGAAAATTTGCAACAAAATGCTTCAAATACTTTGATGTTTTCTTTATAAGTGCTTAAACATTTAGAATTATGTAATCTTGAAGAATAGACTCTTTATCATTATGACTTAATATTCTTTATCTCTAGTAATATTCCTTGCTCTGAAATTCACTTAGTATAATATTGAATATGACTACTTCAGCATAACTTAGTGTTAACGTACCATTTTTGATCCTTTCACTTCAGCATATTTTGACTTCATATTTAAACATGTTTTCTGTGATGCCATATAATTGGGAAAATCTGACAGTTTCTTAATTGGGGTAAATTGTAATTTACATTTAATTTGTGATTATTTGATAAGGCTTAGTTTAAGACTTTCATCTTGTTTTCAATTTGTCTAAATAGTCCTTTGGGTATCTTTCTTTTTCTTCTCTTTCTGATACCTATTAGATTCATCAAATATTTTTGAATTTTCCATTGTATCTCCTTTGATGGTTTTCCAGTTATAAATCTTCATTTTGTTATTTTTTATTGCTTTAGTATTTATAGTATACCTCTTTAACCTATCTTTTATTTTCAAGTGATATTACAGCATTTCATCTATAAGAAACTTACAATATCTTTCAAAAAATACAATACATTTCTAAGTTTCTCTTTTGGCCTGCATGATACTTTTATTACACACCTAATTTTACTTATGCTAAAGTCTCCCAATACATTATTATTTTTCTTCAAACAGCAAGTTATCTTTAAATGTTTAAATGACAACAAATATTATATTTACTAATGTTTTCATTTTTGAAGCACATTTTTACTCCACGTAGATCTATATTTCTTGCTCATGTAATTACTGTCCCTTTGACATTTCTTACATTGTGGACCTTCTGGTAATGAACTGTATCAGAATGTGTATAACTAAAAAAGAATATGTCTTCACTCTTGAAATATGGTTTTTGCTAAGTATTGAACTCTAGGTTGACAGGATTTTTTTTTCCTTTTAATTCTTTCCTGATATTAATTAAATGTCTTCCCACTGGCATTTTTATGGAGGGAAAAGTTTTGTCATACCTTCCTCTGTTCCTTCATACATAACATGTGTTCCACTTACCCCACTACTGCTTTAAAATTTGCTAATACTGATTTGGGGCAATATGAGTAAGATGTATGTTGGTGTAGTTTGAAGACAGCCTATTTCTTTCTGATTCTTGTGCTTAGAGTCTGGTTGAGCTTCTTAGATCTCTGAATTTATACTTTTCATCGAGATTGGAGAATTCCAAGTGCTGCTGAACATGCAAAAGAAACAACTAGAACTTTCACATATTGCAGAAGAGAAAACAAAATTGTACAGCTTTTCGTAAAACAGTTTGGTAGTTTTTTTGTTTGTTTTTTACCAAATTAACCATATACTTACCAAACAAATTAACAATGCTAATATTAGATATTTATACAAGTGTTTTGGAAAGTTATTTTCACACAAAAATGTGTATACAAATGTCATAAGAGAAAATCTATGAAGCATACAAGATGCCCTTTAAGAATGAAAACATTTAATAACATTCAAAACCCTTTCGCAGAAAAGTTGACATTAAACAAGAAATAAAAAGGAACCTATTTATACCTATAACAGATATCTACAAAAACACATCTGCAGCCACATTAATTCTCTAAGGCAAAATACTAAACACTTTCAGAATCCAGGTAGAAGACAAGATTTCCATTCATTGCAACTGGCATACAATATTTTAGTCAGGGTACTAGCCATTAAATAAGGTAAGAGAAATAAATAAAAGAGAGTTATTGAAAACAAAGAAGATGGTCTTAATTCACAGAACACATAATTGTTTGCAATTAAAACTCAAAAGAATCAGAATAAAACTAGAATGAATACATGAATTTATAAAAGATAATATGTGCATGTAAATGCAATATATAAAAATCAATTTTATTTCTATTACTAGCAAACAATTTTAAAATGAAGATCTTGTCATTCTTCATTATTTTAAATTAAGCAGAGTTTATTTGCACAAACAATGATTCATGAATCAGGCAGCATCTATTGAGATGATCGTATGTTTTTTTGTAATTATGTGATGAGTCACATTTATTGATTTGCATATGTTGAACCATCCAGGCATCCCTGGAATAAAACCCATTCAACCATGGTGAATTATATTTTTGATGGATGTGTTGATGGATTTGATTTGCTAGTATTTTGCTGAGAATGTTTGCATCTTTGTTCGTTGGGGATATTGGTCTTTATTTTTCCTTTTTTTGTTATGTCCTTTCATTGTTTCAGTATCAAGGTGATACTGGCTTCACAGAATGAGCTAGTAACGATTCTCTTTTTCTCAATCTTTTGAAATAGTTTCAGTAGGGTTGGTACCAGTTCCTCTTTGAATGTCTGATCGAATTTGGCTGTGAATCCATCTAGCCTGAAAATGTTTGTTGTTGGCATTTTTTATGAAATACAGATATTTTTAATAAATGATGCTGTAGCACATGGATATCTGTATTTTAAGAATATATCTGAACCCTACATAATACACAAAAAATCAATCTCATATATATAATAGATTAATACTTGAAAGGTAAAACAATACATTTTATAGGATAAAACTTATAGAATACTTAATGACTTTGGAATACAGACAAACCAAATATGAAATAGCAGCTTGATTTTTTAAATGAGAAAATTTAACAAAGATATCATGGAGAATGAAAAGCCATGCCACAAATGGAAACAGTCATTTATAATTAATGAATCCTAAAAATATTTATATAATGAATATACACAGAAATATTACCAAAAAAGATCAATACAGTCCATCCACTTAAGATTAAAGGCCAGGTGTGGTGGATCACACCTGTCGTCCCAGCACTTTGGGAGGCCGAGGCGGGTGGACTGCTTGAGGCCAGGAGTTGAAAGCCAGACTGGCCAACATGGTGAAACCCCGTCTCCACTGAGAATACAAAAAAATTAGCTGGGCATGCGGGTGCACACCTGTAATCCCAGCAACTTGGGTGAAGGAGGCACGAGAACCATTTGAACCTAGGAGGTGAAGGTTGCAGTGAGCTGAGGTAATGCCACTGCACTCTAGCCTAGGCAACAGAGCAAGGTTTCATCTCCAAAAAAAAAAAAAAAAAATTAAAGTTTGAATAGAAATTCCCTAAAATGGACACCTAAACAGCCAATCATATTATGAAATAGTGTCAAGATCATTTGTGTGTTATAAATACACATTTAATTCAAGAGATACAATCTCACAAGTGAGAGTGGGTAAAATTGAAAATGTTGAAATGACCAGTCACAATAGGGATGTGATGCTACTGAAACCCAGATACTTTGAAAATAGGGGCAAAGAGTCAGTATATTCGCTTTGAAAGACTGTGTGGCAGTTTCCCAGAATAAAGCTAAACATATCTAACAATATTTGATGGTTAATTTTATGTGCCAACTGGGCCACAGGGTGGAAAAACACTTATTCGTTGGGCATGCCTGTGAGGGTATTTCTGGATGAGATTAAAATTCGAATAGGTGGACTGAGTAAAGCAAATTTCCTTCCCTAATGTGTGTGGGCCTCACTCAATCAATTGAAGGCCTGAATAGAACACAAAGGCTGAAAAATGGGAACTCTTCCTGCCTGACTTCTGTGAGCTGAGACACTAGTCTTTTCTGGCCTTTGGACATCAATTGAAGCATCAGTTCTTCTTGGGTCTCCTGCCTTCCACCTTTTGGGCTGGAACATGCACCATGGGCTCTCCTTGCTTGCAGGCCTTCATACTCCAGCTGGAACTACAAATAGGCTTTCCTGTCTGTCCAGTTGATAAACTGCAGATATTGAGACTTCTCAGCCTCCATAATGATGTGATTTAATTCCTTATAATAAATATTTCTCTTTCTTTCATTTCTGTTTCTCTGAAGGGCCATGCATAATACATAAGCCCTTCACTTTGGGCCTACAGGAACAGTTTCCTCCAGAGACAATCCAGATATTTGGAGGGCTTGATAATCCCCACAGGCTTTATTTGCATTTTTCGTGTAACTATTGAAGATCTTTCTTAGGAAAAGCCATGGATAATAGGCCAGTCTGTTTATACACTGCAAAAAGCCCACACAGCTTCTTTCACATTTATAAGGAGCATTATAGCCTAGTGTCCAGCTAGGATTGAGACAAGCAGGGCACTGGTGACCTTTAGAGATGCTTTTGCTCATTCACAAGAATTTGATCCAGGCCTGTAAGGTGCAGGAATTGTGACTGTGATGCAGATGTAAAGCTGATGAGCAGTAAGACCTTTGCATTCAAGGCACATGCAGTCAGGTAGGGGACGGAGAGGATAGTACACAAATGGGCAACGAGAGGAGAACATGGCAGAGAGGGAGGTAAGAGTTCCTCCCCTTCCCACCGAAGAGGGTGCATGTGAATGGGGATCTCTGGACTTCAGGCCCTGGCTTCTCAACAAGATGAAGTGAAAACCACCCCACTCTCTTTCGGTCTTTAGTCACCCGTTGCACCTGTGAAAAATAGTCAGGTCTTTATTTTTCTTCTTCCTTGCTGGATGCAGGGGACACAGGGCTTGGCTCAAAAGTGTTGACGTCCCTTCCTTCTCAGTGGCAAGGATAGTGTGTCTTATAGACCAGGGTGTCTGGGCTGCAGTGAGAAGTGGCCATCCTGGGGCAGCCCTGAGTGGGCCTCGGGCCCTTCCCTCCCAGACCCGGGAAGGGCACCACTGAAGAATCAAAACAGGTGAAGAGTCAGAAAGGGCCCCTATAGGAGCAAAAGGGAGACCAGCCCAGAGAACAAAGGAGTTATCTGGAAGAAAGGGTTGGTGGATGCTGGGCCCTGACTGCCCAGTGTTCCTCTGGTGCTTATCTCATCCCCTCCTGGTTCTCAAAGCAATCTCACCATCAAGGAGTTTCCATGGTGACGGCAGTCATTCTTGATCCCTCCCACCGTCCAGCTGATTTTCGGAGGCATCTGGTGAGAGTGGGGAGGGGGTCGGAAAAGAATAACGCATTGGATTTTTGCCACCCTCTGTCTCTTGGCATCCTGCCGAGGGGGACAGAGCAGGGGCAAGGCTGGCAGTGGTGTAGGCTGGGGTGGGGGACGAAGGCATGTGTGATACCCTTCACGTCCTGTGTTCTCCTCAGTCCTATGATCAGCATGGCAGCCTATTATTCTTACTACTCATTCCTGATTGTCTTTTTGTTCTTTTCCTTCCCATTCCCTTAAGTCTCTGTTCTCAAACCTACCCTCTGATGCAGGCTGCAGGGAGTAGATGTCTCAGAGCAGCCAGGAAGTTGCTGCAAGGTTTGAGTCAGGCAGCTCAGTCTCTTCTCCTCAAAACCATTCCAACTCCAAATTTGTCAATAAAAGGAAACCTGACAACTGTGGTTAATGACAGGAGCCTTAGTTGCTTTGTTCCTCTCTACCCATGAAGGTCACAGAGAACAGGGAGAGATTGGACCAGATGGTTCACAGGACAAGTGGTCTCTCTTGACCCAGAGTGGGCACACATAAAGGAATCTCTCAGTGTTCCCAAGCAATCAGCAGTCTCTTGACCCAGAATGGGTACACATAAATGAACAATTCCATGTTCCCAAGCAGTCAGCTCGGAAGTATCTCAGCAATCTAGCACTATTGGGTCAGCAAACCACCTGGGCTCCTTCCAACTCTAAGCAAAAAATGTGCCTAAAGAAGTGAAACATATCACTTGTGCCAGCGATGTTAAAGGTGCTCCATCCAGGCTAACACAAGTACAAAAATTCTTAATAATTCTTGGTATTTGTCAGAGAGCCCCCACCTTTTATCAATGTAACCCTGTGAAGTTTCACTTTACAAATAACAACAAAGACATATCCCGTAAACTAGAATGAAAATACTGTGTAGATTTTGTGTGCGCTTTGGTAACAATGACTCCCAGTGAGTCAGGTGTTCCTGTGAAAACACCATTTTGCAATGAGACTTTTTGTCTCTCTCCTTTCAGGGTTTGAATTCATTTCCTTATGCGGTGATGCTGGCTTGGTTATTTTGATCAGTGAAATGTTTCTCATGTGACATTACTCACTTTCCTCGGCTGAGTCCTAAGATGCTTCACAGTTTCTGTCTTTGCCCTTTTGGAGTCTTGAGCTCCCCACGCTGAGAACAATTCCAGAATGAAAGACCAGCTGGAGGGAGAGGCCCAGCCATGCTAGCTGTTCCTGCCATTCCAGTTGGAACTGCATCCTTGTGAGGGGGCATCCTAGACTACCCCAGAGTAGCTGTCTGTAGTTCCATGTTTGAGCCCAGGTGAGCCTAAGCAGAAGAAACTCCCAGTGAACTCACTGAATCATAGAAAACTGTAATCACTGTTTTCAGGCACTGTGGTTCAGGATGGAATGCAGCCATAGGTTGAGTATCAGGTTTGATCCTCTTTAGTCTTGCGTGTAAGTATCCTTTCGTGTTACAGTATAACGCTAGGATCAGACTATGGACTTGGTTCATAGCATTAAACAACTTATTTAACTTCTCTAAGGTGCATTCTTTATCTGTAAATTCATGATAAAAATAAATACTGCCTTCTGAGGGTTTTGAGTGGATTAAATGTGATAATACATGTATGTTCTTAATGAAAAATATTATGAAACAAAATCCAAGAAAAAGAAAATACTATTTAAAATGGAATATTTTAGTAAATCTGAAAGTAGAAAACACTTAGAAAACATTTAAAATATTTAAAATGCTAAAAAAGTCAGAAATCAATCAGAAAAATATTGTATGATAGAATGAAACAGCACATAAAACCATGTTTCACAATTATTAGGCTAATGTTTTTATAAAACATTCATGATGCATTATTTGAAATCATTTATAAGAAAATGGCACAAAATTGTTGACCCCATCCTAAAACCTAAGTATAAATACAGATAAATGTGTGGAAAGATCCACATCTAAATTTTATCAAACATTTTATCCACATTATGTCACCTGTATTATGGTATTACTTCATTACTGCTATTCATACCTTTTATGTGTTTTCCAAGTTGTTCTGCAATAGAAAGGAATTGCCCTCGTGGTCAGTAAAAGAAAGATATCAATAAAAATGTGTTTTTCATTGACAGAATTCTGATATAATAACTTGGAAAAATGGAAAATCTGTTTTTGGCAGTTATTTTTTGTCTTTTGAACTCCCTAAGTCTATATACTCCGCCTGTTCAGTTAGAGTTGTTGCCTTTCCATGTTCCTGACTCCTAACCCTAATAAAGGTTAACTTATTATAAATTATGATAAATATATTCACATTAACGATGTGACAAAATTAAATTATAGCAAGGAAGGTCCAGAATGCATAATAATTAAGTAATTAGCTACAGTTGTGAGGATTTCAGGGACAAGTCTATGTTTTATTAGAGTGGGACTACATGCAATCTTCTATCAAGCTTCTCTGGAAATACCATATAGGTTACCCTTTCTCAACTATTGTGACTTTGTCAGTTTAGCCATTTAAACTACCAAAATTCAGTGTCTATACAACTATCATTATTATATCTTATCAGTTTGTGGTTTGGCAAGAAATCACTTGGTCTAGGCTGAGCTCAGCTACAGGTGAATTTCCTTGAAGTATGTCTCATTATGCTCCTGAGACTAAAACGTGAGCCTAGACATATCTTTCTCACGGTGATTGCCATGGTGTGAGGGTTCATAAAAATGTGCATAAAGCCTGGGTTCCGAACAGCCATATCATCATCTCATCAGTTTCACTTTATTCTATTGGCTTAGAAAAGTCACATGGCCATGGTTAGAGTCAAGAGATGGGAAAGGAGTCCTACCCATTATGAAAGCATATTGCAAAATTTCACAAATAGTTAAGGAAATGGATAAGTGAGGAATGAAGAATTGGGGATGGGAATATAATCTACCATGAGCCTTATTTTTATTAGAATGTAGACATTTATTTTGAATCATTAAAATTTATTTTTATTAGATAAGTTTATCTTCATAATTTACAAGCTAAAGTATCATATTTAATACTGTGTTTATAATTTTAAACATCTTCTATGTGCTCAATAATGTATCCATTACCTCAATCAACACAATAACCTTTTGGAGAACTTATTACTACCCTTATATAAGAAAATAAATTAAAAAGACGTGTTATGGGTGATTTGGTTATGTACTTTTCCCAAAATTCTACAGCAACAGCTATTAAGGCACTGATATAGCATTCTAAACCACATCTGGCTCCTCCCAAGCCCAGTGATCTTTCACAACAGGATAAGTTGTCATTAAGCCAGTGTCTCCTAATGTACTCTTTTTTAAGTAAATATAATTACTATATCTTATTAAATCCCATATTTATTAAATTTAAAAACAGACAACAGATATAACTAAGTTTCAGATTTGAACCTCATTGCTGACGCTCAACCCTCACTTCATATGTTGCAGGCATTTTAATGCTGGCAATGAGATTATTTGTTGAGGAAAAAATTACAACCAACTACAAAGCTATTGAGCACTTCTCATGTGTCCCTGTGGTCTCATTCCTTTTCAGATGTATGTTAGGAATGTAGAAGAAACGCTGTCCCTATTCTTATTATTTCAGATACCTGTGGGAAAATAATGGGCTTTGTGGATGTGAACCCCACATGCAATTTTGAAAAATTATTTCTTTTTTTTTTTTTGCTAAGACTAAAATGAGATGCCAACGGTACATGTTCATAGTGTGTAACATCTGGTCACTTTATTGTGCTGCCTCTTATTTCAATAAAATCCTTGGAATATTTCCAATTGCCATCACATAAATTCCCAGAACCCGTGTAAAAGTTTACTTATATGTGTAGAATCTAAAGATTAAAAGTGGTATGTAAGCAAAACATTATTACAGTGATAGCTGGAGGCAACTACTTGTGGCATTTCAAACTAGTCCATTCTTCTAACCACAGTGTAATCATTTATTTAATTTCCCTTTTCCTGTGAGGAAAGACACTACGACCCATTTATTGATGCTTATACCATGACAGTCACTATGCTAGACACTGGGAAAACCGATGAGTAAGATGTGATCCTTGCCTCTGAGGAACTCATAAGAGAAGAGAGCCATTTATGGAAGCTTACAAGGATAACTATAAGTATGATCAGAGCTATAATAGATGCATAAAAACATTTCTGTGGATGCCTAACAAGACATTATGAGATGCAGTGAGCTAGCTTTGGAAGGCTGAGCGTGATTCTGATATAATAAAGAAAATGAACGTAAAGAGAACAGCAAAAACAAATGGAATTATGTTATGCAGAAATATTGAAGCAGAGAATTGGGTGGGCATGGGAGCATGGGATAATGCAAGGGACATAGAATGCTTGGAGGGGTGGAAAAGGAGGGGTAACTAAATAGGCATGCAGTGGTTCAAGAATGGAGAGATTAAGCACCTTACTAATAGTGAGCCAAGATCACACCACTGCACTCCAGCCTGAGTGAGAGAGTGAGACTCTGTCTCAGAAAAAACAATAACAACAACAACAAGAACAAATTTGAAGCCTTTATATCAGTTGTATCCATGTTTATTCTTTTCTTTTGCTCACATACGCTTAAAAATTAAAACAATTTTGCATACACTCACAATACCAACGTGTGTATAGTTACGGATAAAGTGCATACATTAACAGCAAATAAGTTGCAGTCTTATTAAACATGTAAAAATATACTTTGTGAGCTAAAGAGGAAATAAACCACTTTAAAAATCATTAGTAGATCAAAATTGTATTTTCTTAATGAGACAAATTATTGAGAAAATAAATAGACTTCATTATTACTTTTTGAATCATTGTTTAATTATCTATAATACAGCAATTCAAAAGATTAGTATAAAGCTCAAATCTAAAGATTTGTATTTATTCATTCATTCATTATTTTTATAGATTGAGGGGGTAATATGCAAGTTTGATACGTGGATATATTGCTTGGGTGGTGATGTGTGGGCTCCTAGAGTAGCCATCACCCGAAAAGTGAACATTGTACCAAATAGGTAATTTTTCAAAACTAACCTCTGCCCTTTTGTAGTCCTCAGTGTCTATTGTCCCCTTCTGTATGTCCATGTGCACCCAATGTTTACCTCTAACTTATAAGTGAACAACATGTGGTGTTTGATTTTCTGTTTCTGAGTTACTTTACTTAGCATAATGGCATTCAACTTTGTTCATGTTGCTGCAAAAAACATTATTTCATTCATTTTAATGGCTGCATAGTATTCCATAGTGCATACACATCACATTTTCTTTATCCAGTCTACCACTGATGGGCATCTATGTTGATTTCATGACTTTGCTATTGTGAACAGTGCTATGATAAATATACGAGTGCAGGTGCGTTTTTTTTTTTTTCTTTTGAGTAGATAGCCAGTAATGGGATTGCTGGGTTAAATGGTGGTTCTATTTTTAGTTATTTGAGAAATCTCCATGCTGTTTGCCATAGAGGTTATACTAATTTACATTCCTGCCAACAGTGCATAAGCATTCCCTTTTCTCCACATCCTCGCCAACATCCGTTGTTTCTTGTCTTTTTAATAATAGGCATTCTGACTGGGGTGAGATGATATCTCATTGTGGTTTTAATGTGCATTTTGCTGATGATTAGTGATATTGAACATGTTTTCATATGTTTGTTGGCTGCCTGTATGTCTCCTTTTGAGAAATGTCTGTTCATGTCCTTCGTCTACCTTTTAATGGGGTTATTTCTTCTTTTCTTGTTGAGTTCTTTGAGCCGTTTGTAGATTCTGGATATTAGTCCTTTGTGAGATGCATAGCTGGTAAATATTTCCTTCCATTCTGTAGGTTGTCTGTTTACTCTGTTATTTCTTTTGCTGTGCAAAAGCTTTGTAATTTAATGAAGTCCCGCTTGTCTATTTTTGTTTTTACTGCGTTTGCTTTTGAGGTCTTAGTCATAAATTCTTTACCTAGGCCAATGTCCAGAAAAGTTTTTCCTGGGTTTTCTTCTAGGATCTTTATAGTTTGAGGTCTACAGAGAAGAGTTTGGAGGTTCCTCAAAAATCTAAGTCTCTAATCCGTCTTGAGTTCATTTTTGTATATGGTGAGAGGCAGGGATCCAGTTTCATTCTTTTGCATATGGCTAACTTTTTCAGTACCATTTATTGAATAGGATGTTAAAGGCTTGTTTTAATGCTGATATATCTGAAGAAAATCTCATAGAGATACATGAATCCATATAGAGGAAGCATATCATGGTATACATTTTTCAATCCCAAATACCAATTATGTCAATTGTGTTGTTATTGACAATCAACAAATAGCTGATTATATTCTCAAATGGAAATAATACTAATTAGAAGTCATATTTTTATGTTTATCAAATATATTTTAAAACCATTAAAACCATTTGCTTGGAATATGAAAACTGTCTAGAAAAATTTGTTTTTAATGTGCACAAATAACAGAAGTTTTATAAGCAACACATTTACATTGTTTTGGCAAAAAGATAAGCATATGGTGATGAAAACATTTCAAACATCCACCTTTGGAATATTCTCTCAATAGCATAATTCTGTCAAAAAGCCTTCACTTTTTACTAATTATTAAAATATTAACAGGTCCCCATTTCTTTGCAGACTCAGATAAATCTGAAGATGGTTCTGATAGGGAGGAGAAGTGTCAGTTCTGACATTTTGTTCCTATTTGTGCTTCATTATTACTATTACTACAATTTGTGGGCTATTTCCTTTAATATTTTTATGCCAAGACATTTATGGTATCAAGGATACTTTGACTTTTATAAATAGATGAAATGAAGGTATTTGCATGTCAATTCAGACCAGTGTCAATGAATATATTAAACATAAATGATGTTTATTTTGTTCTTTCTTTAAATAAAATTAATATATGTTTATGTATATCGATTTTCTAATATTGTTTTGAATGCCGCCCTCATGCTATTAGAACAAGTTCCATTTGATTCAGAAAAGCCCAACGTACCACAGTTAAAAGTGCTTGGTGAAGATAAGATCAACAATATGTATGCTGCAAGATCTACCAAGGCAGCGATACTGTCACCTTCGGAAGAAGCTGCTACAGTGTTTTGGATATGTCAGAAAACAAAAATTGTTAATTTCCATTGAAATTGTGATTCCAGTCTTTCTTGCATCTATTTTCAAGTGAACTGAGTCTCCATTGGATAAATTGGAAAACAATGTGTTACAGGAAACAGACACAAGTACCTTAAATCCAGAATCATTGGTTGATCTAGTTGTAAGCAAAATAGTTAATACAATAAAAGTAGGAGTTAACACAGACATGAAACAAATAACAGTAACTGGTCAGTAATACTAAGAAAAATGTTTTTCAGTCCCATGAATACTATGACTCAAACTAACCGTATTTTCAGATATAAGTCAGATATAAGTTTTTCAGAGAAAGGCAAACTACATGTGATTGGGTGTGGATCAAACACTGAAATTATGAAGAACTGTTGTAGGTCATGCTGGCTTTCAAAATGACCACATTGAAATAGCTTAATTCATAGATGGGACACTAAGGAGAGAGAGAGAAGTTTCTGATGGTGTTGGCTAGGTAATTTATAAATATTTGGATCTTGCCAGTGGATAGAGAAAAAGTAAATGCTTTCTTCCTTTCCTCAAGGAGCTCACAGTTTAGAGGGACTGACAGATTTATACAGATTATTACATTGTATTGTGAGTCACACTCACCTCTAATGGTGGGAAAGCAATTTCAGATAACTCTTGACAGAGGAAGTGGCGTGAATCTTAAAGGATAGTAAACACTTTCAAAGCAGAAATGGATAGGACGGTGCTCTGAGTGTGGATGTGGGGAGGGATAATTAAAGACGTGGTTGTGTTTAAACCATTAAAAGAACATGATACGTTCAGAAAATGGTGAGATATCTGTTGCGGTTGAAATACAAGTATGGTTTATTTGAAGAATATGGATAGATGCAGTGAGAAATATTGTTTGGAACTGGTCTGTGTAGACCCTTGTAAATCAAACTAAGTAATCAAGATTCTGTAGGTATCCTACCTTATTCTACAATCTCACTCTAGGAGAAGTCCCTGGCTTGACTTATAACAGGTACTTGACATATATAATGGCCAGTAATGATGCTTACCAAATGGCAGATTCTGCCTTTAATTAGCATTGTGATTATGATTGACATTCTGTCTAGTCCATGAGTCTGGATTCCATTTTCTCTATTCATAAGCATTAGCTAAATGGTATACAAGAATATACAGATCTGGAAACACAGAAAAAAATTCGGTTCCTTCCTCTTTCTCAACCGTTTTTTACGGACTCTCCCACCACTGTGACTTTCTGGATCGACCTTCCGTACCAGCACTTCACTGAACCCTATCTGACCTTGATATCTGCTAAGCAGCAGAGTATAAAGAACAGGTATTGGCATCAGACACAAAGGGGTACATTCTTTTTTTATTTTTACTTACTAGCAGTGGTAAAGAACTCAAAATTTTGAACTTTATTTTCTTTACTTATAAACTTACTAATACTGACTTCATAGCACTGCTGTAAGAGTAAAATGAAGCTATAAGGAGGTCAATGAATGGTAATTCCCAACACTGCACACAGTTTTATGGATTTGTACAATGGCATGCTTAGTTGCTTCCTCTGGGATGGTGAAACTGTTATATGCCATAGCGCAGTACTCATTCCACCTCTCTCAGCAACCAGAATTTTCACCAAAGTGGCATATTATATTCAGCAACCATTACATTTCTTTACAACTCTCAACAACTTCCCTCTGTTTGAAGCCTTTTCTCATTGTCTTTCCAAGGGGTGAGCTACAAGTAGATCCACACGACATGAGCTGTCCCCCTGGCCAAGAATAAGTAGGTAGCTAAACAGATTTTTGTGTATTTGGAATTCAGTCTAAATTGTAGTCTCATTTTAGGTAGATGGACCAGTCACCGGTATATTTGGGGGTAGCCTGTGACCATATTTTATGTTGTGTCTTAAAAAGCAGAAATGATCTGTATACAGCTAGAATTAAAATAATATATGAACCAAGCATAGAAATAAGAGTAGGAGGACAACGTGGAAAGTTTAGTGGGCATTTCAATTTCTCTTTCTAGGACTTGAAGCTTAGCCGTATTATTGCACCTTGAGATTCATGATTCAGCCAGTATCCTCATATTCAGTCTCCTTCAACTAAGTCAGTGCCAACAAGCTTCTATTATTTACAACATAAAATGACTTTGATGGTACAAGAATATTTATATTTCTCATCAGAGACTCAAACTAAGTCTCTACTATTTTATAAAGGGTCCTGTACCTCAGACACAGGCTTTCACTTAAGCTAATACTAATAAGCATTTACAGTAGCAATACTTTTTATATATAGTGCCCACTGATCCCCTAAATTCCAAAAATTGATTGCTCACTAAGTTAGATATTATGATTGAATAATCATATACAGTTTTTTAAAGACTTTTTCAGCTTTGGGCACTTAAAACCTATTTTATGTATGTTTCAATTAGACAAATTGTTTGCCATCAAGATAATTAGTCAATAAAAGAAATAGTATTTACCCTTTTAGGAGGGAATTTTAGTATATCCACATTTCTGAGACTCTGTTCTGAAAAGAAATTCTGAATGCAAAGCTAACAATAGTGTCATCCATAATTTCTATGCTTGGATGACTCTTTAAGAAATATTCTGGCAATATTTTATCACAAATATCTAGCTTCAGAACAGAAGCATTTAGACTAAAATGTGTTAAGAAAACAATATTCCCTCAGTGACATTTCCCTTCCTCATTACAACCAACAAATAGTTAAAATAGTAAAATGGAAACACAAAGAACAAAAATGTTTTGAAATATAAATGTTAAACTGTGTATTCACTCTTTGTTTTTAAAAAGAAACAGATAATATTTCATAACTACATCATCTGAGACCCATCAGATGTCTCTTGTAGATCCCACTTGATTTTTCTGGCTTTTGATCTTCACAATTTATCAGCTTGATTCTCACAATTTTGTATCCTACTGTGTAGACTTCGGTTGCCCACATATCTATAAAATTGCAGTGTCATTAGGCAGCAAGCAAAACTATTTCTTTTTTGTGATGGCCAACAGAAAACAGAAAAAAATAAAATAAAAAAAACCAACTGATCTACAGCCTCTACTGGAAGAAAGAGATTTTATATTGTACCTATGTAGGGAGACCTTTCCTCATCCTTGACAAATTTGGCTTGAGAATCACAATTCTTTTTCCAGTGTAGTACAACACAACACATTTCCAAGTGTCTTATAGAGCAACTTGCCTGCTTTATATTTATCTCAGTTTAAATTCTTAAGGAAAAGTTCATTTTATTTAAAGAATGTTAAATCATTCTAAAACAAAGTCTTTTTATGTATAAATATGAAAAGTTGCTTAATTTGAGTAATTACTTTATTAACTGGAGCAATACAGGGTTGAAAGATGAGTATTTGTATTGTTTTTCTTCAAGTTATTGACAGAGAGATGAAGTGAAGGAGTAGGGGAAGAGAAGTATTAAGAGTGTGATAGATTCATAATTATTATATAATCAGCATTTCAGGAAATATCTGTGGTGTGGAACATGATGACAAGGCATGTCATAAGACTCAAATGAAGTCTTGGAAGATGATGTGGTATGATAAGTGTTTCAGATAGAGAAGAGTAAGCAAACCTGGAAAATCAGAATGTCATGGGATTTATTAAAGAATAGCTAGTAAGTTTTTCTAGTTTGTGTTTAAGGCATAAACATGAATCAGATATGGTCTAAAGGAGGAGTTACCCAGCAGAACGTGAGGATTGATAAAAGAAAAAACGTCAGCTGAATTAAATTCAAAGGAGTTTAAGCAATGAATGATTCTCCAATCAGGCAGCCCCCAGAATCACAGCAGATTCACAGAAACTCCAGTGCAGCCATGTGGTGGAAGAAGATTTATACAGGAAAAGAAGGGAAATGACCTACAGAAATCCGTAGTGAGGTACAGAATGGATGGATTGGTTACAGCTCAGCATTTGCCTTATTTGAACACAATTTGAACACTCAGCAAGGTATGAATATTTGAATTATGGCCGCTGGGATTGGCCAAAACTTAGCTATTGTTACAGGTGCATACTCCTACGTTAGCTTTTCAATTTTGTCTACCTATTAAGTTAGGTTGTAGTTCGTCCTCAAGGACTCAAATATAGAAATACAGAGTATTCCTCAGGATATATTCAGTTCGCTTTAACAGGATGGATTAGAGGAAACACTGATTATATATGATATGTCTAACATACTGCATGCAAGGCCCAAAATCACAGGCTTTTGTGCACAGGAAGCCGTAGCTTATAGATGCTTCAGGAATATCAGTGTGGTGAGGAATTCTTAAAAGCATCCCTATTACATCTGTCCATTTAGAAAATTTCCTAGAAAAGATCATGGACGATTCCAGGGAACCAGTCACCTGTGCTAGTGTGTAACACAACAGTTGGGTTCCAAAAATGTAGCAACAATTTAAAGCAGTATCTCTTAAATTGAGTTACCCCAAGACACAAGGTGGTATAGGTATGTTGAATTCTTGAAAGAATTTGCACAATAGCAATAGTCATTACCATGCTCGTATTGTGAGGAGAGATTTGTTGAAAAACATCTTTCATATGAAATTAATATTGTGAATTTGAATTTCATTGCTTACATAAATGTGTTTTTATTTCTAAAAATGTTTCAATTTTATAGGTGTGTAAGAGCTATGGGGATGAGTTTATTCTTAGCTTTATGATTGTGAGTACTTAACTAGCCATTAAAATAAAAATAAGTCAACACCTGGAAATATTTTTCTTTCAGTGTGATCCATATATTGTTCAGGTTTGGGGAAAAACAAAAACACAAACTGTTGTGTGCTTTCTGAGAAACACACTGTTTTAAGCATTTCAGAGCCACCTCAGCACCATTACATCCAGAGTAACACTAGCCAAACTTTATTCCATCTAATTCTACAGTTATAATTAAGAAATAACTCTAAGAAAAATGACTGAATGCTTTCTGTTGAGGTTGAACTGAGAAATTCCCAGTAGACCTATTTTTAATGTTGTTTTTTAATTCCTCCTTGGATTATATTTAGGTACAATAATACATGAGTTCCTGTACTATATGCTGTCAAACTTAGAAGGTAGAAGTATCTTTGCTTTGTAAATGACAAAAATAAGGCTCAGAGAGATTAAATTGTACAAGGTCACAGAGTAAGAGGTATAGTTGACACTTAGTTGTAAGTCTTCTGATCCCAAGTTCATTGATTTTTTTCTATCATACTAGCTCCTTCTGATCAACATATTCTTCTATCAAAAAATTAACTTAGCATAAAGAAATTGAATTTTGACTATAGACTTTTATGTGTACCAAAAAATAATTTACCTTACTAAGGATTGGGTACTTTAATTTTCAGACACCAGTAACCTACCACAGGACTTAAACTTTGAGTCTTTCCAGTTTCTCAAATACTTTCATATTTTTTCTGATGTTTTTCTTGACTTTCATGATTAATAGCACACATTTCTAATACTACAAGGACATTTAAAATAAACCTCTTCTGACTTTAGCAGGCAGCATTATATGAGAGAATTTCTGGTGTCACAAAAGAAAATTCCAACAGTAGAAGCTTTGGAGTACTGAGAATTCAAGTTAAATTTACTTATTCAAACAAATCAGTTTTCTTAAAGATTTAACACTTTTATCTTTTTTTGCATCTAGGGACCTTTTAAAAGGAGGGCTTACTTGAGTTGGACAAACTGAAATTTTTCAAGATAGCAACAGAAGTTTATAAAGATGCTCAAACAAGTTTTAAATACTCCTGCCTGTTTTCTTTACTCTCTCATTGATTGAAATAATTCATGTAGCAATGTCAACAAATCTGACATTCACATAGCACTGTCAACAAATCTTAAAATTTTGCCTAAAGTATTGACAATTTATTATAAAATAAACTGTCACAATTGAATAAGCTGGAACGAAAGGCAAATATTTTCTTGACACAATAAATGTTGTAGGTACTATATATTCTTGCATTCTATGGATATAACACGTTAGTCACTAGTTGCTGGCTATTTGGGTTGTTTCCAATATTATCATAAACAATGCTGCAAGGTATCAGGGGAACCCACCCCCAATATTTCAACATAGGTTCTATTTCCCCTAAGTGTCAGCCAGTCTGAGAAATAAAGAGAAAGAGTACAAAGAGAGGAATTTTACAGCTGTGCCGCCGGGGGTGACATCACATATGGGTAGGTCCGTGATGCTCACCTGAGCCGCAAAACCAGCAAGTTTTATTAAGGATTTCAAAAGGGGAGGGGGTGTATGAAGTATGAACAGGGAGTAGGTCACAAAGATCATATGCTTCAAAGGGCAAAAAAGAGAACAAAGACCACATGCTTCTGAGGCCAATAAAGATCACAAGGCAAAGGGCAAAGCAAAGATCACAAGACAAAGGGCAAAGCAAAGATCACAAGGCAAAGGGCAAAATCAAAAACTCCTGATAAGGGTCTATGTTCAGCTGCGCGCGTATTGTCTTGATAAACATCTTAAACAACAGAAAACAGGGTCAGAGAGCAGAGAACCTGTCTGACCTCAAATTTACCGGGGAGCAGTTTTTTCCCCACCCTAATAAGCCTGAGGGTACTGCAGGAGACCAGGGAGTATTTCAGTCCTTATCTCAACCACAGAAGACAGACACTCCCAGAGCGGCCATTTATCGACCTACCCCCAGGAATGCAATTCTTTTCCTAGGGTCTTAATATTATATTCCTTGCTAGGAAAAAAATTTAGCGATATCTCTCCTACTTGCACGTCTGTTTATAGGCTCTCTGCAACAAGAAAAATATGGCTCTTTTTGCCCAACCCCACAGGCAGTCAGACCTCATCGTTGTCTTCCCTTGTTCCCTAAAATCACTGTTATTCTGTTCTTTTTCAAGGTGCACTGATTTCATATTGTTCAAACACACATTTTATAATCAATTTGTACAGTTAACGCAATCATCACAGTGGACCTGAGGTGATGTACATCCTCAGCTTACGAAGATAACAGGATTAAGAGATTAAGACAGGCATAAGAAATTATAAGAGTATTATTAGGGAAATGATAAACATCCATGAAATCTTCACAATTTATGTTTCCTCTGCCGCGGCTCCAGCCGGTCCCTCCATTCGGAGCCCCTGACTTCCCGTAACAGTAAGAAACATCCTTGTATATTTACTTGTTATGCAAGTGTATAAATGTTTTGTAGAAACATTGTGCAGCCTGCAGTTAGGGGAGGGGTAATGGCAGCACTACCTTTGGTGTCCCTGCTTGTGTCTTAGTATGTCTTGTACCCTCCCAGTTCACTCTCTCTGGGCCTAGTTCAGCACTATTACTTTCCTAAGTGTTGCAGCCTTCATGGCCTAGACCGACTTTCGAATTTACTTGGAGACACAGAGTGCTGTAGCTTTCTGTGGTGAGGCTTGTAAGCACTCAGGTTCAGATCCCCAGGGTAGGTGATTCCTCTCTGACTAGAGCTGGTTTAAATACTTCCTCTGTGGGTGGATCAGCTGTTTGGTTTGGTTTTTCTTTCTGCTCTAACAGAACAGCACTAAGTTCAATGCCTCACAATTGCTGTGTTTTCCCTTCCCCAGTACCCAGAGACACTCTTTGCACCATTCCGCCACTCCTGCATGTTGGGGAGAGGTGACATCTGGGATTCTGGACTGCTTTTTCTATCTCTTCAGTGATATAAAGTTAAAACCAGATACTATGAGTGTTCACCATATTTTTGGTTCTAATGAAGGTGTTTTTTTTTTTTTTTTCTCTCCTGTGTAGATAGTTGTTAACTTGGTTTCCTTGTGGGCATGGGGATGATTGATGGAGCGTTCTATTCTGCCATCTTGCTTCACCTTGAGTTTAATTTAGATATTAATAAACTATTTCTAAAATGTATATGGAAATGCAAATAACCTGATTGAAATTCTTACCTCATACCATGTTCAAAATTAATTTGACATGGATTATACAGACTCAATTGAAAACCTAAAACTCATTGGCACTTGTTTCATTGCAACATGGTAACTGAACAGGAAGTTGTTTGGAATTGGCAGAAGTCAGATGAATGACCAATCTTACATGCCCATTCTTCCTCTCTTGAGCTGTTATTTATATTCAAATTAAATACACATCATTCCTCTCTGTAGATACCTATGTACTTATTAGATTCTAGTTAATAAACTGCACATGCTCAATAACTTTGAGGAAATTTAGTGAAAATGAACGAAAAGATAAAATGTTTCTATTTAGACCTGAGGTTATTTTTAGACTGGCCCATAGAAACAGATCCAGATAAATTGTCTGAGAAAGCAAAGTAGGTACTTATGAATAGTATTCAAAGTCTAGGATTAACATCTAAAAAGACTCAGTAGTACTGCTAGCCAGTCAATAAAATATAACTCCATATACAACTGTGTTTCCAGCATACAAAAGGTCAAACCAATGACTTTTACAACAATCTACCCTCATATTTTATTCAGCCTCTAGAACATGGAAGCTTTAAGAGTGAATCGGCTAAATAGGCAAGAACTTCTGAAAGTTAACATGTTGATGATTAAAAACAGTAACTACAGGTTATAATTACCTGGGTAATTAATTGAAGTCTTATTCTATTTTCATAAGACTTACTTGCTCCATTCAAGCAAAACAAATTTTGGTCTAAATTACCTAGATAATTATGACATCTTTTTACTTGAGAAGTATAGAACTTGCCTCAGGTTACAAAACTAACTATATCATTATGAAATGGATAGCCAGGTAGGATTCTAACTGACATTATTCTATGCTTAAGATCGACTTAACAACAGCTATTCCCAGTAAGCAAATTTTAAAAATCAGATCCAGCTACATGTATTATGATTTTTCTACCTTACGGACTATTTTGGAGGGATACGCTATTAATACTAAGACTGTGAAGGAGAGTTGGGGAGGGAGCAGGGAGCGAGGAACATGCACACCACATTAACACAGAGGCAATATTCTGGCTTGGACTGTTCTTTACTACTGTTCTTAAAGAAATGTTCATTCTGCTGCAGCTAACTAGCCTTCATCTTCTACACCAAATACTATTCCATGCCATGGAAGTGCTATGCAATAACTCTCCCAGGAAGCACCTTATACCGCTTAAAAGCCTTTAAAATCTCTAATCTGAAGGTGTCACAGTAAAGACATGTAAACACTTATGAAAATACCTGATGAAGTCACCTGTGTCCATGGAACCGGCCCGTTTGTCACTCAAACCTGTGCTGGTTAGGATTTGCTGTATTTTATCTGCTATGCTGAAATCTTCTGGAATTATCTATCAATATAAGATTCAGAATAAATGAATGGCATGTATTTAAAGAAAACCCCTAAAACTGAAACTTATAAGCTATCAAACAAGAAATAAGTTATACTTCATCACATTAAAATTTTTTTGCTCTCCAAAAGCTAAGTTAATGAAAAAGACTGGAAAAAATGTTTGTAAAATGTATGTCTAATAAAGAACTTGTATTCATAATATGCAAAGAGCTTTCAAAGCTCAACAAGACAATCATCCTGATTTTTCTAAATGAGCATACAATTTTAACAGACATTTCATGAGGAGATATATGAATGACCATTAAATACATTAAAAGATGCTCAGCATTATTAGTTACTGAGGAAAATGTAATTTAAAACCACAATGAGGTTATAATACACACATATTAAGTTGCTAAAATAAAAAAGCAAAAACATACCAAGTATTTTAAAAGAAGCAACTAACATTTCATGTATTTTTGGTAGACATGCAGAAATACTGAACAGTTTCTTATTAAACACAATTACAATACTAACATCTTTTTAAAAAACAAACAAACAAACAAACTGTGTGACTACACAAAGACCTGATTACAGAAGGTTTATTTATAAGAGCCTCATATTGAAAAAAACCCAAATATCCATCAAAGGTTAATGGATAAACAAACTGGTATATCCACACAATGGAATACTACTCAGCAATAAAAAGAATATACAACAACATGGATAAATCTCAAATGCATTATGCTAAATGAAAACTCTGGGCAACAGACTACATTCTATACAAATCCATTTATTTGAAATTTGAAAAAAAGGCAAAATGCCTTATATATTTTTGTATTAAAAGAATTTATCTAGTTATTATCAAAGCTGATCACAGTTTACAACTACCTTATGTATCATCCATGCCCATGTTTCTCTCTCCTCTCTTTCTTTCTCCTCTCCCTCTCTTTTTTCTTCCACTCTCCTCTCTTTCTCTTCTACAGTGCAGAGTGGGAGTATAGGAGAGAATTTTTCAAGCATTCAGTAGTCGCCACAAAGAGCAAGACTGAGCAACACTGACGACGCTGAAGAACCACGGCTGATATATATTAACAATTAAGCACTTCCAACTGAGTACTGCCAATTGTCTTCTCCTGGCGAAAGCCTCGTTTTTAGTATTGTAAATACAGAAATCAAATCACAATTGAGATTTTGCAATTAATGTGTTTAAAATCAATACCAGTTGTAATAGCCAAATCAATCACAGAATGCATCAGCCACCAAAATTAACACCCCAAAAACCACGGTTTTATCTCTCCAATTCAAATATCTGCTCCAAGGGCCATCAGTAAGAACAGGGCCTTGGTCTCCAGCTCCAGGTGCATTGCCTTTTCTCCTCACTTCTCCGTGCTTCTGGGAATGCTTTTTCTGCAGGAGACAGTCAGGTGATATTCATCAACTACTGCCCTGGCCCCAGCTCTCCAGCATTGACAATCAGATACATGAGTATTTGAAACTGACAAACTAAAATAAAAATAAAAATATAAAAACCTTAAATTATATTTATATACAGTTATATCCAAAAGAAAAATACCTAATTAATGTCTTGGTCACTGATATTGGCATTTTTCATTTAAACAAATCAACCAAATAGATCAATGAAGTACTAAATTTAGTTTGTCACAGTGTAAAATCATTTCATAAACAAATTTTAATTACGATGCTATAAGATACAATTCTACCTATATAGCAATAATCATATTTTAAAAATTGGCTACTCTCTTTGGACACCATGGACAGAAAACATTAAGGTTTTAATTTAAGGATGAATTAAACATGTATTTGCTTTAACTAAGCCAGTGAGGGGGCACACATGACATAAAATTGGTCAAGAAGATGCAAGAAGAGTTCATGGGATTTTATTAAACTAGTTTAATAAACTAACAAACTAATTTAATGAACTAACCAAATACTTTTATATATCTGTTAAGTTTCATAATAAAGAATTTAAAAATAAAATATATTGGTCATGTTGGATATAACGGTAAACAAACATTTATGAAGAAATGAGAGCATATGTTAATTCCACAGTTTTATATTTAGGTGAAATCCAAACAAAGCATAGCAGGTTGCAAGTCTAGGTAACAATAACCATAGGTTTGAATTAAGCTTGGACTTCTCTTGCTTGTCCAGAAGTAATGATGCTCTTACATTTTCAGAACAATATTTGAATTTTACCTCTCAGATTTTAAAGTAGAGCTATACTTGGGCAATATTTTCATTATATCAAGGTCATGTTTTTGACAAGTCTTTTAAAATATCTTTAATGTTTTATTAACATAATACATACATATGTTTTGAATTATCCAAAATAAATACACACTACTGGAAGGTGCATAACAAAAATTACTAGCTCTCTATCCCATCACTTCCCACTGTACAATCTCACACATTTCTACATTCAACCCATTTTGCTATGTTATCTGGTATTCAACTCACTACAGCTCTAAACAATACGTTTGCACATTTTCTATTGTTTTATCATTATGAAAGACAACATTTAGCTCCCTTAATACTCTTCACTCTCATTTGTCACCCACACCCTGCCATCCTCCCAAGACGAGCCCAAATTTCTGATTAGATAGCTTATAGACTGCCTATTTCTCATCCCTGTTGCTTCTAAGTGAACGGAGACCTATTACGATTACTCTTGGCCTTTTATCCTGCTGCTTTACTCACACCACACTAGGAGAGGTACATGACATTTGGAAGATAAATTCAGAAAAATAAATAAAGCAGCACGTTTTACTCATCTCTGCCTTACTTCAGAATGAGACTTCCACAGGAAGAATTGCTCCCCAGTGCTCCTTCAGGGTTTGCTTTGCTCTCCTATAGGAGGACTTCCTTATCCAATGTTGTTATGACTGGGTGAGGGAGCCTGCCTGTCATTTGGTTAGAGGTCCATTTTGCTCTTCCTCTTGCCCTAGTCTATGTCCCCTGCTTTTGCAAGTAAAAACAGTGGTATCTGCCTTCCAATCCAATATTCTTTATTTCTCAATTTGTCAGAATTCCAGGTAGAAAAAAGGAGCTCTTTATTGGACCCTTCGGAGACCCCAATATATTTTTTACTTAGTTATTATCATTCCATAAAATTTCTTCACTGAAGAACCAGGTACTAGACTATGACCATATTTTCTCTTTTATACAACTTTCCGTTTTTCCTAATTTATGTCTTCATTTTTTTAGTCATCCATGTGCATTTTAACTAGTCTTTTATATAATTTAAAAATCCCTTGATTTATCTTCAAAAAGATAAACTTCATGTAGCAAATTTTTGTCCTTTTTATTTTTATAGAGCCCTCCTTTCTAGAGCCTCATAGTCTCCTCTTCCAATTTGGACTGGTTACCCTCTAGACCTATTGTACAGCGGTTATCCTGGATTTTCATTTTTATTTTCTGTTAGTTCAATGTGGATTCACTGTGTCTTGGATCTCATTTCTCCTTTGTTCTTGGTGTATCAGTGACTTTGGTGGAGCATATTCTCAGATAAATTTATAAAAATTATACTTAGAAGGTAACTTTTTGAGACTTCAAATACTGAGAATTTAATGTTATCTCATGTTTAATATATCAGAATAGAATAAGGATAGAATTTTACATGAGACATTATTTTTCTTAAGCATTTTGAAAGTTTTATTCAAGTCTGTTTTATCTTCCACTGCTGCTGTTAAGAAATACAACACCCTTCAGATCCTATTTTTTTTTTTCAGATGATCTGGTTTTTATCACCTGAAATTGTGAGACATTTTTATTACCTATCCAACAGTCACTCATCCCAAATTTGTTTGAATATTTATTCCATCCACATTTTATAGGGGTATCCTGATTAGTTTAAGCCAAACAGCATAAGAGAGTGTGTGGCATAAATTACCCTCTCATACTGAAGGAAAGTACACGTGCATATTGATGAAGGAGGGGGCTCTCAATCTTCTTCTGTATGTGAACTAGAAATATTGTAGCCCTCATTGTCACCATCAGCTATCTTGTGAACATTAAGGAAAGCAGACTTAGGGAGATTCACAGGAAGAAGTAACGGGCAGATAGAATCAGGGTCCTTGATGACCTCAACCGAGCTACTAATCATTCAATTACTGGAACCTAACCTACTTCTATAATGTCGTTTACTTAGTAAGGTAATACATTTGATTATTACTTAAGCAAGTTTGAGTGAGAATTTTCTTTTCTTTTTTTTTTTTTTTTTGTTTTCAGCCTGAAGCATCCTGACTGCTAAAGAAAGCTTTTAAGATTTTCTCTTTATCCTTAGTATCCTAAAATCTTTTGATGATGTCTCATAGTGTCAGTCATGACCCTTCCTTTTGCTATGCATTTGATAGCCCTCCCTTTTCAATGTAGAAACTTATATCCTTTGGCTATATGAAATACTTTCTTGTATCTTTGTTAATTGCCTTTTTTTCCCTCTGTTTCCTCACTTTTGACTGTCAACATAAACAGGAAAACAAAGTCAGAAGAGCATTTTTCTTGTATGTTCAATCTCTCTTGCTCAATCCTGGCATCTTTTCTGCAACTTGGAAACATATTCAAATCTCCAACATTTAAAGAAAATTAACCTAAACTCCACTTCCTCCTCCAGCCACCACCATATTCCCTTCTTTGTCTCATTGTCAAATTGTTTTGAAAAGTACTATTTTGAATGCCCATCTTAAATAAGTGGAAATAGGGAATAGTGAAAGGCACAGAACTGCAAACTGGGCTGAAGCTTTCAGAGCTAAAAGCAAGAGCAGGTAAGAGAATGGGATAAGTCTATATTAGATGTCAATCAGTTGTGGTTAAGATAATGAAGGTCTCAAGTCAAATAGACCTGTTTACAAACTCCCACTCTGTCAATTGATGATCTGTCAAAATGGAGCAGTGCTTTAATCTATGTAAACCTCTATTTCTTTTTGTGAAAATGAGGTCATGGTAGCACCTACCACGGGATGTCAAAATCAGAATTCAGTTATATAAGCTAAGAGCTTAATAAATGTTACTTGCACTTACTACCATTATCAGAGGCTTGACACTATTAACATGAAGCTAAAAAAATCTGAAGGACAACATGCCATGGCAAAGCAGGCATGGAGGGCCAGCTAATTCAAACAATGAAGTAAAGAAGACAATAGGAAGCAATGGGGCAGTAACTAAAGACTGTAAGATTGAGCAAACTGCATTTAGTTGACAGAGAGATGGAAGAAACTGAAGATCCACCTGGGACATAGAGACAGGACATTCATAGAGCTTCTTCAACATCTGCTACCAGAGCGAAGAATCCATGTAAAACAGTCACATACAACACCTCCATCTGCAATCTCCTCCTGCAATGGGAGCAATTCTGGAATTAACTAATATTTCCCTGGTAAAATATTCTTTTTTGTTTGGGAGTATTGTGAATATGAAAGGTGGATTCCCATGACCATTCCTTCAAGCTATACACTTAATAATGCACTCTACAATAAAATGGCCATGGTGTTCTCTTGAGTAAAAAATTACCTATATGGTGTTTTCCACTTTCTAATTTAAAATACCAGGAAAGTGAGCTGGGATGTGATACAACAAGAAGTGATGTTGGTTGGTTATGAAGAATAGTAGCAGTGAATGAAGGAGTGGAGAAAAGTAGTTGTTAACCCCGGGATGAAGGAGAACAGCTAGCTGTTACCTACTAATCGTACATTAAGTAGGTTTATGAGTGTTTTCATTTTGTTTTGTTTTTTGGGTTTTTGTTTTAGCAGAGGACAGAAATTTGTGTAATTTTGGCTGTAATCTATTTGTCCATAACTTCTTGTGTTTTAAATGCAGAATTTGGAGGGTTTAAAGAGCGCTACACACATTTTTGTCAATCATAGATTGTTCTTTGATACACTCAATATTGTAAAGATTTGAATTCTCCCTCGATTATTTTGTAGATCATACTCAATCACAATACAAACTTGCTTCTTTCTTTCATGTCTGTTCATTTTAGAGTGTTCGCACTAGGAGTGTTTGATAAAATAATTCCAAAACTAATTAAAAAAAAAACAAGTTTGTAAGACTATCCAGAATATACCTTTAAAATAAAATAATTGAGAGGATATTTATCTGCTACATATTAAAATTAAAATAATTGAGAGATATTTATCTGCTACATATTATTAGCACTACAGAAATTAAAGCAATGAGGTAGTATAGCATTATCAACAAGTAAGTAGATTGGAATAGAGGGTCCATATATTTAGCCAGGCAAACATTACAATATAGGAGTTGATATTGTTTGCACTTCAAATAGGGAAAGGAAGATTAGTCAGTCAATAAATGCTTTTTGGTTAATAGGTAACAATTTGGGGAAAAAAAGGTATACTTTAATGTTAAGAGCTAAAGCATAGCCATATTCAGCCTACTATAATGACAAAGAAGTAAAGATAAAGACATATTCAACAGACTTGTAGACAGAAATAGAAATGAGAGGACAAGAGAGTGCACATATTTTCTGATCATTGGTCCCAACATATATATATACACACACACACATATATGTATGTATATTACAAACCCACTACATGTAGTAACATACACATAGTACACAAAAATATATAAGTATATGCCATAAGTATTAGTGTATATATAAGTGTAACACTAATTATATAATAATATATGTTAGTGTGTATGTGTGTGTATATATATATATACGTAAGGGTAACCCATATATAATATCAATTATATTATAATTGATATAATATAATATAAACCCATATATAATATCAATATATAGTATGTATACTTATATGTATACATACATACACCCAGATAGATAGTTACTGAAATACAGACATAAGAAGAAAAATAACTAACTTAAAAAAAGGTCAAATAATGTGAGCACACTCCTCATGAAAGTGTATATAAAAATAGCAAATAAAACATGAAAATATGTTCAGTGTTATTAATCATTAGCAAAATGAAAATAAAAACTGCAATGTGATAACCTCAAACCCAGTAGAATGCCTAAGATTAAAAACAACAACAACAACAATACCAAGTGTTGGAGAGAATGTGGAACAAGTGGAACTCTCCTGCTTTGCTGGTGGTAATGTAAAATGGTTTGTGACTTTGGGGGAAAAAGACAGTTTCTTATACACTTTAAACATGCACTCACCATATGGTGCAACAATTCCCATCCTACGTATTTAACCAAAGGAATGAACTGCTGAGGCATACAAACAGAACTGTTATCTTTAGAGAGGCGAGACAAGCAAAAAAAAAGTTCATGTACGTCGTTCAATTTATATGAATTTTTAGAATGTTCAGAACTAACGTATGGTAGAAGTCACATGAGATTGTTTCAGAAGGATAAGTGTATTAGACTGTGAAGTGGCATGAAAGAACTTTTGTGGTGATGGGAATATTCTGTAACTTTATTGGGGTAGTGGTTACAGGTATTTCTATGTTTCTCAAAGTTCATCAAACTGTGCTCTTACAGTCTATGTATTTTATTGTATGAAAATTATACCATACCACAACCAACTGATACAAAAACTAAAAAAATAAAACCCAGTGGCTGGGCGCGGTGGCTCACGCCTGTAATCCCAGCACTTTGCGAGGCCGAGGAGGGTGGATCACGAGGTCAAGAGATTGAGACCCTCCTGGCCAACATGGTGAAATACCATCTCTACTAAAAATACAAAAATTATCTGGGCATGGTGGCACATGCCTGTAGTCCCCCTACTCGGGAAGCTGAGGCAGGAGAATGACTTGAACCCGGGAGGCAGAGGTTGCAGTGAGCCGAGACCGCACCACTGCACTCCACCCTGGTGACAGAGTGAGACTCCGTCTCAAAAAAAGAAAAAAAAAAAACCAGCAAACATAAACATAAAACTAAATATGATCACCTAGGAAAATGGTTTCAAACAATTCCACACAGGAGACTGAGGAGTGACTAATGAGACAGAAGGCAAGCCAGGATGTGGGCTCCTGAAAGCCAAATGACGTAAAACTTTCAAAAACAGAGTGACCGTGTTTATAAGATGAATTTAAAAAACTGGTCCTTATTGCGTAGTGGCAGGCATCTGTAATCCCAGCTACTCAGGAGGCTGAGGCGACAGAATCGCTTGAACCCGGGAGGGGGAGGTTGCAGTGAGCCGAGATCACGCCACTGCACTCTAGCCTGACGACGGAGAAAGACTCCGTCTCAAAAACAAACAAACAAACAAACAAAACAAAAAACTGGTCCTTATTACTGAAGTGTGCAGTGAAATCTTCATAGGGAAAACCTGATTGGAAATGGGCCAATGGTGACAAAAGGAGAGAAATGGAGACAACAAGTATAGTTAACAATTTTAAAGAGCTTTTATCTAAAAGGAACAAAAAAAAAAGAAGGACGGCTAGGGGGATATGTGATTTCTAGATTTTTTTTTTTAGATTGACGATTTTACATCATATTTGTGTGCTGGTGAAAATGTTCGAGTGAAGAGAAAAATTGATGATGCAGTGGGGAGAGGAAAAAAGGTTAAGCCTACGTTGGAAGTAATGTAATGAATATATTGCAACCGCTATTTATACCAACAGCATCTAGTACACTAAATATGGCATGCAGAATGCTTAATAAATATTTAAGCAACAAAAGAAGAAAATTAATATGTATTGGTTGCTTACAAGAAATGATAGAATAGCATAAGAATCTTGTGTCTGGCTGAGGAAATGTAATGAGAGCAAGATTTTTTTTTTTTTAAAGAGGAATTGTAGAAGAAGGAAAAATAATGTATAAATCAAAGCAATGCTGAATTACATGAATTGTACTAGTACTTACTTTTGATCTCTGCTACTTAACTCCAATGTTCCAGTCTTATGTTGTGCTTTGTAATTGACCATTTCTAGAACAGGGACATTAAGGCACAAAAATGTCTACAAATGTAATCATTTATCATGACCTACATGGCTAATATGGTCCAAACTATCCTTAAGCTCTTGCTTTAAGATTCATAAATGCCCCTAAGGAAAAACTGACCATGGTGCATTCAGTCCTCCCTTGCTGAGGTGCCCCACTGCACTCTTCTGCAGCGTTCTTTCCAACAAAACTTTCCTTTTCAAACCGATGCTGTTGTCAGTAAATTCTTCTCACTACCCATAAGTCAACCACTTTTCATTACTAGGGCTCTGACACCTCGCCCGGCATCTTGGTGGCTTGCATGGGTACTTTACTGGAATTTCTCCCTTCCTTTTTCTCCCTGCTTCCCTCAATGCTCTGCTTCCTTACCCCTGGGAACTCAAGGTCCCTGGCTGAAGCAGCTCTTCAGTGGGATTCTGAAGCCCTAGAGAAGAGATAGCTGTCTGTCATTTCCCTTAGGGGTGAGGGAATGGCCAGGATTCCTTTCTATTTCTTGTACTGCCAGTGAACCAATTTAAGTCCTCTTTGGCAATTGACAGTTTCTGTCAAGGACTGTTTCTTGGTGTTACCCGAAGCCTAAGACAAAAGGGTTAATTCATTATTGCCCATCAGGGTGGCAAGTCTATTTTCACTTTAACACTCAATAAACCTGTGTGCACAGACACACTCTACTGGTTGCGAACCCAATTTTGGATTCAACTTTGTCACAAACACCACATCCCAAGTTACAAGTGAGTTCTCCTTTACATTAGGTTTGAATTGACCCCTCGAGCAAGGGCATTCCTGGAATGGTCATCCAGGCAAAGGCAGACCCTCTATCTGTGGTGGAGTCCCCCCAAATAGAGTGAGCCAAAGGGAAAAGAGAGGTCCAAAATGCCTCAGGGATCTTGTAGCTCCTTATCTAAACCCTTTACATACCATGAAATCACACTATGAGAAATTACCACCTCCCTTGAAATAACCTTAGCAAAAACTGGCTCAAGTGTATCAAAGCTAAAGAAATCTTTAGACTCACTTGCAGGAATAGTTTTTGATTATAGATGAGCACTAAATTATCTCCTAGCTGAACAAGGAGTCTGTGCTGTCATCAATAAAACCTATTGCACCTATGTTAATGTGTCTGGAGAAGTAGAAACCAATGTCTGAGAAATTTTCAAACAAGCCAAATAGCTACACACACTTTTTCAAAGTAACCAAGACTGGACCAAAGCCTTTATCGATTGGTTTCTAAAAATCACTCGGCTTCTCCCATTCCTTGGACCTTTATTCCTCTTCATTCTTCTTTTAATGTTTGGTCCCTGCATTTTTAATGCTCTCATTAACTTTATATCTTTCAGATTACAAAAATTCTACCACAAGTGATTATGCAATCACAATACCAGCCTGCAACAGCAACTTCCATTTATATGAGGCCTCTTGATGGAATCCGGTCTTACTCTCATGAGCAAGTTTTTCATGACCTTCCATTGCCTTCATGACAGAGTAAGAAGGGGAAAAATGCAACTTATCCCCTCCACACCCACATTCAGCAAAAATAGCCAGACTTGATGCCCAATATGGTTTGGCTATGTCCTCACCCAAAACTCAACTTGAATTGTACTGCCCAGAATCCCCACATGTTGTGGGAGGGAGCCAGGGGGAGGTAATTGAATCATGGGCTCTGGTCTTTCCCATGCTATTCTCGTGATAGTGAATAAGTCTTATGAGATCAGATGGGTTTAGCAGGAGTTTCCGCTTTTGCTTCTGTCTCATCTTTCTCTTGCCGCTGTCAAGTAAGAAGTGCCTTTTGCCTCCCACCATGATTCTGAGGCCCCCTCAGCTATGTGGAACTCTAAATCCAATTAAAACTGTTTTTGTTCCAAGTTTCGGGTAGGTCTTTATCAGCAGCATAAAAACTAATACAGTAAATTGGTACCAGTACAGTGGGGCATTGCTGAAAAGATACCCAAAAATGTGGAAATGACTTTGGATCTGGGTATCAGGCAGAGGTTGAAACAGTTTGAAGGGCTCAGAAGAAGACGGGAAAACGTGGGAAAGTTTGGAAACTCCCAGAGACTTGTTGAATGGCTTTGAAGAAAATTGCTGATAGTGATATGAACAAAAAGGTCCAGGCTGAGGTGGTCTCAGATGGAGATGAGGAACTTGTTGGGAATTGGAGCAAAGGTGACTCTTGTTATGTTTTAGCAAAGAGACTGGTGGCATTTTGCCCCTGCCCTAGAGATTTGTGGAACTTTGAACTTGAGAGAGATGATTTAGGGTATCTGGTGGAAGAAATTTCTAAGTAGCAAGGCATTCAAATGATGACATGGGTGCTGTTAAAAGCATTCCATTTTAAAAGGGAAACAGAGCATAAAAGTTCAGAAAATTTGCAGCCTGATGATGCAGTAGAAAAGAAAAACCTATTTTTTGAGGAGAAATTCAAGCTGGCTGCAGAAATTTGTCTGAGTAGCAAGGAGCCTAATGTTAATCCCCAAGACCATGGGGAAAATGCATCCAGATCATGTCAGAGACCATCACAGCAGCCCCTCACATCAACAGGCCCGGAGACCCAGGAGGAAAAAGTGGTTTCATGGGCCAAGCCCAGGGTTCCCGTGCTGTATGCAGCCTAGGGACTTGGTGTCCTGTGTCTCAGCCACTCCAGCTGTGTCTGAAAGGAGCCAAAATAGAGCTCAGGCTGTGCCTTCAGAGGGTGGAAGCCACAAGCCTTGGCAGTTTCCACATGGTGTTGAGCCTGCAGGTGCACAGAAGTCAAGAATTGAGGTTTGGGAACCTGTGCCTAGATTTCAGAAGATGTATGGAAATGCCTGGATACCCAGGCAAAAGTTTGCTGCAGGGGCATGGACTTCATGAAGAACCCCTGCTAGGGCAGTGCGGAAGGGAAATGTGGGGTCAGAGCACCCACACAGAGTCCCTACGGGGGCACTGCCTAGTGGAGCTGTGAGAAGAGGGCTATTATCCTCCAGAATGCAGAATGGTAGATCCACCAGCTGCTTGCACCATGCACCTGGAAAAGTCACAGACAATGCCAGCCCATGAAAGCAGCCAGGAAGGAGGCTGTACCCTGCAAAGCCATAAGATTGGAGCTGGCCAAGACCATGGAAACCCAGCTTTTGCATCAGTGTGACCTGGAGTCAAAGGACATCATTTTGGAGCTTTAAAAGTTGACTGCCCTACTGGATTTCAGACTTGCATGGGCTCTGTAATCCCTTTGTTTTGGCCAATTTCTCCCATTTGGAATGGCTGTATTTACCCCATACCAGTACCCTCATTGTATCTAGGAAGTAACTTGCTTGCTTTTGATTTGGCAGGCTCATAGATAGAAGGGACTTGGCTTGTCTCAGAAGAGACTTAGAACTGTGGACTTTTGGGTTAATGCTGAAATGAGTTAAGAATTTGGGGCACTGTTTGGAAGGCATGATTGGTTTGGAAATGTGAGGACATGAGATTTGGAGGGGCCAGGGGTTGAATGATACGGTTTGACTGTGTCCCCACCCAAATCTCAACTTGAATTGTATCTCCCAGAATTCCCACATGTTGTGGGAGGGACCCAGGGGAAAATAATTCAATCATGGGACCAGTCTTTCCCATGCTATTTTCATGATAGTGAATAAGTTTCACAAGATCTGATGGTTTTTTCAGGGGTTTCTGCTTTTTTTTGCTTCTTCCTCATTTTTTTCTCTTGCTGCTATCATGTAAGAAGTGCCTTTCACCTCCCCCCATGTTTCTGAGGCCTCCTCAGCCATATTGAACTGTAAGTCCAGCTAAACCTCTTTTTGTTCCCAGTTTCGGGTATGTCTTTATCAGTAGCATAAAATGAACTAATACAATGCCCCTCTTCACTGTGCTGTTTTCCATTTCTTGAGACCCTAGTAGGCAGCAGGTAGACATGAGCATGGAGGAATATAAAGGGTAGAAACTTTAAACAAAATATTTTTCAGGGGGAAAATGAGGAGAGCAAAAATCACTTTGTGACCATCTAGCAGGCCATCCAGAGGCAAAACTTCTTATCTAAAAAATTTGAATGTAACTAGACTTCCTTATTATCTAAAGCAAGCATCTGGTTCCAGGCTTCTTTCCCAAAACATTTATAAATAACTGGAATTTGTATACATCTTTAGGATGCGTGCATGTCAAAACTCATTGTGTAGCTCTTGCTGATATTAAGGCACCAAAATGCCTACAAATATAGTCATTTATCATAATCTATATGGCTAATATAGTTCAAATTTTCATTAAGCTCCTACTTTAAAATTAATAAATACCCCTTAGGAAAAATCCACCATGATATACTTAGTTCTCTCTTGCTGAGGTCCTCTGCTGCGGTCTTCTGCACTGTTCTTTCCATCTAATAAAACTTTCCTTTTCAAACCTATAGTGTTGTCAATACATTCTTTTTACTACCCATGAGTTGACTGCTTTCCATCGCCGGGGATCTGACACCTCACCTGGCAAAGAATACAATAAACATATAAATCTTCAATGCCCAGACACCAACAAACATCTACAAGCATCAAGACTATTTAGGAAAACATTACCTCACCAAAAGACCTAAATAATATGCCAGTTACCAGTCCTGGAAAGACAGTGTAGTGTATTAGTCCATTCTCATGCTACTATAAAGAACTGTCCAAGATTGGGTAATTTATGAAGAAAAGAGTTGTAATTGACTCACAGTTCTGCATGGCTGGGAAGGCCTCAGGAAACTTACAATCATGGAAGGAGGGGAACGAAACGTGTCCTTCTTCACGTGATGGCAGGAAGGATATGTGCTGAGGAAAAGGGGAAAAGGTCCCTTATAAAACCATCATATCTCATGAGAACTCACTCACTATGATGAGAAGAACATGAGGGTAACTACCCCCATAATTCAATTACATCCCATGATGTCCCTCCCACAAGATGTGGGAATTATGGGAACTACAATTCAAGATGAGATTTGGGTGGGGACACAGGTAAACCATATCAGACAGAGATATTTGAGATACGTAAACTTTCAGACAGGGAATTCAAAATAACTGTTTTGAGGAACCTAAACAAAAATCTAACATAGTGTGGAAAATGAATTCAGAATCCTATCAGATAAATTTAGCAAAGGGATTAAATGAAAAACAATTGAGCAGAAATTCTAGAGTTTAAATATTTAATTGACATACTGCAGAATGCATCAGAGTCTCTTAACAGCAGAAAGGATGAAGCTTGAAGACAGGCTATTTGAAAATATACAGTCAGAGGAGAAAAGATAATAAAAAGTAAAAAACAAAAAGAAGAAGCATTCCTACGAGATCTAGAAAGTAGCCACAAAAGGGCAAATCTACAAGTCATTGCCCTTAAAGAGGAGGTAGAGTGGTAAATCGGGATAGAAAGTTTAAGGGATAATAACAGAGACCTTACCAAAGATAGAGAAAGATATTCATATTCAAGTGAAGAAAAGATATAGAACACAAAGCAGGTTGAACCAAAAAAAAAAAGACCACCTAAAGACACTTAATAATCCAACTCTCAAAGGTCAAGGATGAAGAAATGTTTCTAAAAGCAGCAAGAGAAAATAAACAACTAACATGCAATGGAGCTACAATACGTATGTCAGAAAACTTCTTAGTGGAAACTTTACAGGTCGAGAGAGTAGCATGACATACTTAAAGTGCTGAAAAAAAAATTACCCAGTGAAATAATATATTCAGTGAAATATATCCAGTGAAAATATCCTTCAAAGGTGAAGAAGAAATAAAGACTTTCCCAGACAAACAAAAGTTTAAGGATTTTATCCACACCAGACCTGTCCTAGAAGAAATGCTAAGGAGATTTTTTCAATGTGAAAGGAAAGGACATTATTGAGCAAAAATAAATAATCTGAAGGCACAAAACTTACTGGTACTAGTTAAGTACACAGAAAAGCACAGAATATTACAACACAGTAATTATATTGTGTAAACCACTCATATCTTCAGAAGAAAGATTAAAATATGAACTGATCAAAAATAATAACTAGAACAACTTTTCAAGACATAGACCGTACAAGAAGATATAGATAGGAAGCACGAAAAGTCAGAAAATTAGGGGGATGAAGTTAAAGTGTACAGTTTTTATTAGTCTTCTTTTTGCTTCTTTCAGCTTCTTTGGTAGTTTATATGTTTGTTTATGCAATCAGTGTTAAGTTGTCATAAGTTTAAAATGAAGTATTATATGATAGTACTTGCAAACCTCATGGTAACCTCAAATCAAAAAAGATACAAAAGACACAAAAGATACATAAAATATAAAAAGTGAGAAATTAAAACTTACTGCCTGAGAAAATTACCATCACAAAAAGGAAGACAGGAGGAAGGAAGGAAGGAAGGAAGAGAGGGAGGGAGGGAGGAAGGAAGGAAGGAAGGAGGGAAGGAAGTCCACAACTAAACCAGAAAACAAGCAAAATAGATAGCAAGAGTAAGTCTTTACTTATCAATAATAATAATGTTGAATGACAATGGACTAAACTCTCCAATCAAAATACATAGAGAATACATAGAGTGGCCAAATGAATTTAAAAAATAATTAAGACCCAATGATCTATTGCCTACAAGAAATACATTTTACCTATAAGGACACACACAGACTAAAAATAAATATAAATAAATAAAGAAAGCTATTATATGCAAATGAAAACCAAAAAAAAAAACAGGATTAGCTATACTTACATCAGACAAAATAGGTTGTAAGACAAAAACTATAAGAAGGGATAAAGAAATTCATTATATGATAATAAAAAGGTCAATTCAGCAAGATAATATAATGATTGTATAGATATATACACCTAACACTGGAGCAACCAGGTATGTAAAGCAAACATTGTTAGAGCTACAGAAAGAAACAGAATCCAATACAATAACAGCTGGAGACTTCAACACCTCACTCTTAGCATTGGGGAGATCTTCCAGACAGAAAGTCAACAGAGAAACATCAGATTTAATATTCAATATAGACCACATGGACCTAATAGATATTTACAGAACAATTCATCCAATGGCTACAGAATACACATTTTTCTCCTCAGCATGTGAATCATACTCAAGGATAGACCATATATTAGGTGACAAAACAAGTCTTAAAAAATTTAAAAAATTAAAATTGAATCAAGCATCTTTTCTGACCTCAATGGAATAAAACTAGAAATCAATAATAAGAGGAACTGTGGGACTAACATGGAAATTAAACAATATACTCCTTAAGGAACAGAGCATCAATTAAAAGAATAATAAATACTAAATTAAGAAAAAAATTAAAAATTATTTCATAACCAACGAAAAGAGAAACACAACATACCAATACCTATGGGAGACAGTGAAAGCAGTACAAAGACTAAATTTTATAGAAATAAGCTCCTACATCAAAATTGTAAAAAACATTTCAAACAAACAACTTTATGAAGCATGTTAAAGAAATAGAAAAGTAAGAGTAAACCACTGCCAAAATAAGTAGAAGAAAATAATAAAAATCAGAGCAGAAATAAATAAATAAAAATTAAAAATAGAATCAATGAAGCAAAAATTTGGTTTATTTAAAAGATAAACAAAACCAAAAAACCTTTAGCCAGACTAAGAAAAAAGGAGACAAGACTCAAATAAATAACATAACATAATGAGAAAGGAGACATTACAACTGTTACTGCAGACATGCAAAGGATAATTAGAGGGAACTATGACTATTTCTATGCAAATTAATTGGAAAACCTAGAATAAATGAATAAATGTTTACATACAGACACTTTACCAAGATCAAACTGTGAAGAAATTCAAAACCCAAACAGAACCAAACAAGTAATGAGATTAGAGTAGTAAGAAAATGTGTCCCAGAAAGGAAAAGCCCATGACCTGATGGCTTCAATGCTGAATTGTACCAAACATTTGAAGAACTAATACCAATCCTACTCAATCTATTCTGAAAAACAGAGAAGGAGGGAATACATCCAAACTCATTCTATAAAGCTGGTATTACCCTGATACCAAAACCAGACAAAGACACATCAAAAAAAAATTACATGCCAATTTCTCTGATGAATATTGATGTAGAAATACTTAACAAAATAATAGCATACCAAATTCAAAACTACATTAAAAAGATCACTCATCATGATCAAGTGGAATTTATTTCAAGGGTGCAAGGATGGTTCAATAACTCAAATACACAAATCAATCAATTAATGTGATACATGATAATAACAGAATGAAGGACAAACACCATATGATCATTTCAATTGATGCTGAAAAAGCATTTAATAGAATTCAGCATCCTGACTGGGTACAGTGGCTCATGCCTATAATCCCATCACTTTGAGAGGCCAAGTTAGGCAGATAACTTGAGCCCAAGAGTTCAAGACCAGCCTGGGCAACATGGCAAAACCCCATCTCTACAAAAAAATACAAAAAATTAGCCAGGCATTATGGTGAGCACCTGTAGTCCCAGCTACTCAGGAGGCTTACGTGGGACGATCGCTTGAGCCTGGGAGGTGAAAGTTGCAGTGAGTTTTGATCATGCTGCTGCACTCCAGCCAGGAGACATAAACAGATCCTGCCTCAAAAAAAAAAAAAAAAAAAAAAAAAAGCAAAATAAAGAAAAAACATACAACAACAACAAAAATCCTTTCATGATTAAAAAAAAAAACTTCAGAAACCTAGATATAGAAGGAGCATACCTCAACACAATGAAATCCGTATATAACAGATCCATAGCTAATATCATACTGAAAGGAGAGAAAATAAAAGCCTTTCCTCTAAGATGAGGAACTCAGCAAGAATGGCCACTTTTACCACTGTTATTCAACATAGTATTAGAAATCCTAGGAAGACAAAGCACACAAGAGAAAGAAATTAAGGGCATCCATACTGGAAAGGAAAAAGTCAAAGTATCTTTGTTTGCAGATAATATAATCTCATACGTAAAAAAAACCTCAGCCTCTACCAAAAGTTATTAGAACTTGTGAACAAGTTCAGTAAATTTGCAGATACAAAACCAACACACAAAAACCAGTAGCATTTCTATATGCCAACAGTGAACAATGTGAAAAAGAAATAAAAATGTAATTCCATTTAGAATAGACACAAATGAAATGAAACACCTAGGAATTAACCAAAGAAGTGAAATATTTCTACAATGAAAATTATAAACCACTGATGAAAGAATTTGAAGAGGACACCAAAAAAAAAAAAAAAAAAAAAGAAAGAAATTCCACATTCATGGATTGGAAGAAACAATATTGCTGAAATGTCCATACTACCAAAAGCAATCTACAGACAAAATGCTATCTCTATCAAAATACCAATGACATTTTTCACAGAAATAGAAAAAACATCCTAAAATTTATATTGATCTACAAAAGACCCAGAATAGCCAAAGGTATCCTAAGAAAAGGAACAAAACTGGAAGAATCATATTACCTGACTTCAAATTATACTACAGAGGTATAGTAACAAAAACAGCATGGTATTGGCATAAAAACAGACACACAAACCAATGAAAAAGAATAGAAAACCCAGAAACAACTTTACATTTCTACGGTGAAGTCAGTTTCAATAAAGGTGCTAAGGGCATAAATTGGAGAAAGGACAGTCTCTTCAATAAGTGGTGCTGGGAAAACTGAATATCCATATGCAGAAGAATGAAACTTACCCATATCTCTCACCATATAGAAAAATCAAATCTAAATGAATTAAAGACTTAAATCTAAGTCCTCAAACTATGAAACTAATAAAGGAAAACTTTGTGGAAACTCTCCAGGACATTGGAGTGGGCAAAGTTTTCTTGAGAGATCTCTCACAAGTATAAGCAACCAAAGTAAAAATGGACACATGGGATCACATCAAGTGAAAAAGCTTCTGCACAGCAAAGGAAGCAATAAAAAAGGTGAAGTGACAACCCACAGAACAGAAGAACATATTTGCAAACTGCCCATCGGAAAAGGGATTAATAACCACAATATGTAAGGAGTTCAAATGACTATAGGAAATATCTAATAATCTAACTAAAACATGAGGAAAAGACCTGAAAAGGCATTTCTCAAAAGACATACAAATGACAAACCAGTATATGAAAAAGTGCTCAACATCATTGACCATCAGAGAAACGAAAATCAAAGCTACAATGACATATCATTTTACCTCAGTTAACATGGCTTATATCAAAAGAACAAGCAATAACCAATGCTGGTGAGGAAGTGGAGAAAAGGGAACCCTTGTACACTGTTGACAGGACTGTAAGTTAGTACAACCATTATGGAGAACACTTTGGAGGTTCCTTAAGAATCTAAAAATAGAGTCTCCATGTGATCCACGAATCCCACTGCTGGACATATACACAAAACTAGGGAAATCAGTATATTGAAGAGATACCTGCACTCCCATGTTTGTTGCAGCACTATTCACAACAGCCAAGATTTGGAAGCAACCTAAATGTTAATCAACAAATGAAAGAATAAGGAAAATGTGGTACATACACACAATGGAGTACTATTCAGCCACAAAAAAATGGGATCCTGTCATTTCCAACAACATGGATGGAAATATGGAAATGGAGGTCATTATGTTAAATGAAATAACCAGGCACAGAAAGACAAACTTCATGTATTCTGATTTATTTGTAGGAGCTAAAAATTAAAATAATTGAATTCATGGACATAGAGAGTAGGATGCTTACAACTGGATTTGAAGGGTATTGGACAGGGTGGCTTACAAGAGAATGTGAAGGGTATTGGACAGGGTGTTGGAGGGCAAGTGGGGATGGTCAATTGGTACAAAAAAATAGGAAGAATAAATAACACTTAGTATTTACTAGCACAAGAGGGTGACTATATTAATTGTACATTGTAAAATAACTAAAGAGGTTTAATTTGATTGTTTGTAACACAAAGAATAAATGCAGGAGGTGATGGATATCTCATTTACCCTGATGTGATTATTATGCATTGCATGCCCGTATCAAAATATCTCATGTAATCCATAAATATATATACTTACTATATACACATAAAAATTAAGAATTCTTAAAGAAGGGAAATTTTAAAATATAGTTAACTGGAATGTATATGATCTACTATTTGATAGCAGAACAGGATAACTGTAGTCAACAATTCGTTGTACATTTTAAAATAACTAAAAGAGTATAATTGGATAGTTTGTAAGACAAATAAAGTATAAATTCATGAGGTGTTGCATATCCTGTTCATGCTGATGTGATAAATCATGCATTGTATGCCTGTATCAAAATATCTCATCTACTCCATAAATATATACACTTACTATGTACCCACAAAAAATAAAAATTAAAAAAAATGAAATAATCTTCAGCCAATTACTAGCAAATGAAATCCAATAGCATATTAAATGGACTACGTAATAACCAAGTTGGATTTGTTGAAGGAATGTAAGAGTTGCTCAACATATGACAATAAATCAATGTAGTGAACAACATTAATAGAATAAAAAAGAAAGTACAAGCTCATTTAAATTGACACTGAAAGAAACAGACAAAATCTAACACTCTCCCATAATGAAAACACTCCACAAACCAGAAATAGAAAGGTACTTCCTCAACATGCAAAGTCCATTTTTAAAAAATCTACCACTAACATTATATTCAAAGGTGAAAGGCATAATCTTTTCCCTAAGGTTAGGATCAAGGAAAGAATACCTGCTTTTGCTACTAATTTTAACATTGTCCCGAAAGTTTTAGACCAATTCAGCACACAAATAAACAAAGGACATTAAAATTAGAAAAGAGGAAGTAAAACTATCTCTATTCACAGATGACATGGTTCTAAATATAGTCTTAAGTAGTTACCAAAAATTTATTTAAAGTCATAAATTTTAGCACTAAATTCTTCTAATCTAAGAGTTAATAAACAAAATCAACAAAGTTGAAGATTCCAAACTCAGCACTCAAAATCTGTAGTATTTTCTACAGATTTGCAATGAAAATACAAATAGGAAATCAAGATAATTCAATTTACTACAGCATCCAAAGGAATATATTGCTTAGCAATAACTTTAACTGAGGGAGTAAGAAAAAAAATGTGTATACTAATAACACATAACATGGCTGAAAACAATTTAGAAAGACAAAAATAAATATAAAGTCATCTCATGTTCATAGCTTGGAAGGGTTAATATTTTTAAGATGGCAGTACTCCCCGCTGAGATCTACAGATTCAATGTAATTCCTATAAAAATCTTATATCCATAATAGTTAAATCCATAAAGACATAATGATTTTCAGATACTGAGGGGTAGGAAGGGCAGGAGGAACGGGGATCAAATGCTGAATGAATATTGCATTTGTTTTGCGGGTGATGGCAACGTTCTAGAAGTAGAGAGTGGCAAAGTTTGCACAACATTTTGAATGCACTAAATGGCACTGTTTATGAGATTTTATGTTATGTGTATTTTGGCTCAAAAAGTGAGTCATATGCATAAATGTAAAATGCAAAACTACAAATCTTCTAAAATAAAATATCAGGAAATATAGGTGACCTTGTCTTTGATGATGAGTTTCTACACACATAAAACCAAAAGCATTATTTGAGAAAGAAAAAAGTAATAATTTGACTTTATTATAATTAAATCCTTCTACACTGTGAAAGACTTCTTAAGAAAAAAAAAAATCATGAGCCACAGACTGGGATGAAATATTTACAAAACACATATATTTTAGACACATCCAAAATATAAAATTGTAACTACCCAATGGGCTCACCTTGCCCGTTGCCTAGACAGAGCCTATTTATCAAGAGAGGGGAATTGCAATAGAGAAAGAGTAATTCACACAGAGCCAGCTGTGCAGGAGACCAGAGTTTTATTATTACTCAAATCAGTCTCATTTGAAAAATCAGAGTTTTTAAGGATAATTTGGTGGGTGGGGCAAGTTCTGTGAGTTGAGAGTACTGATTAGTTGGGTTGGAGACGGAATCATAGGGAATTGAAGCTGTCCTCTTGTGCTGAGTCAGTTCCTGGGTGGTGGCCACAAGATCATATGAGCCAGTTTATCCATCTGGATGGTGTCAGCTGATCCATCAAGTGCAGAGTCTGTAAAATATCTTAAGCACTGATCTTAGAAGCAGTTTAGGGAGGGTCAGAATCTTGTAGCCTCCAGCTGCATGACTCCTAAACCATAATTTCTAATCTTGTGGCTAATGTTAGCCCTACAAAGGCAACCTCGTCCTCAGGCAAGAAGGAGGTCTGCTTTAGGAAAGGGCTGTTATTGTCTTCGTTTGAAACTAAAAACTAAGTTATTCCCAAAGTTAAGTTCAGCCTACGCCCAGGAATGAACAAGGACAGCTTGGAGGTTAGAAGCAGGATGGAGTTGGCTAGGTAAAATCTCTTTCACTCTGTTACACTTTTGCAATGATGGTTTCAAAATGAACTCCTAAAACTCAATAAGTAAATGAGCAACACAATTAAACAATGGACAAAAGATCTGAACAGACACCTAAACACAGAAGACAGACATGTTGCAAACAAACATTTAAAAATATGCTCAACATCATTTTTCATGAGGCAATTGGAAATTAAAATAACAATAAGATACCACTACCTATGTTCTAGAATGGCTGAAATTAAAAAAAAATATGTGTGTGTATATATATATAATACAAAATATAAACAAGTGTATATTTATTATATTTAAATATTTAAATCAGTATACCATAAATATAGTATATTTAAACAAAAATATTGTTGATATTTTAATATAAATACATATTTACATAAATGCATATTTATAAATATAAATAAATTTATATTAAAATATGCATATAATATGTACAATATATGTATAGAATATATTCTTGTATATACATGTCTAAAATAATATACATGTACATATACAGGTATATAAATATATACCTGTACATATACATGTATAAAAATATATACCTGTGTAAATATAAATATATACCTGTATTAATTAGTGATATTGGTCTGTAATATTATTTTTTATGCCTTTATCAGGCTTTGACAATGGGATTATGCTGGTCTCATGAAATTTGTTGAGCAGAGATTCCTTTCCTCTATTTTCTCTAAGAAGTTTGTGTAAGGTTGATGGGGTTTTTTCCTTCTTGAATATTTGATATAGTTTAGCAGAAAAAGACACATCCTTTGGAATTTTGGAATTCCAGAAACTGTAGAAAAGGTTTTCATAATGAATTCAAAATTGTAATACCTACTATGCTATAGTAGACTAAATAACGCCCCTCCCCAATAGATGTCCATGTTCTGATCCTCAGAACCTGTGAATGTTATCTTATGGGCAAATGGAGCTTTGTAGAGAAAAGCAAGATAAGGATCTTGAGATGGTAAATTTATCCTTGATTGTTGAGGTAGGCCTAAGGCAGTAACAAAGATTCTTATAAGAGGGATGTAGGAGGAGTCAGTTTCAATGAGAAAGACGTGACAAATGAAGTAGAGATTGGAGTGATAAACTTTAAAGGTCCAGCAATGGGGTTACAAACCAAGGAATATGCATGGCCTCTGCTGTGTATTCCTTGGAAGTGGGAAAAGGCAAGGAAAAGAATTTTCCCTTAGAGCCACCAGAAAGGAGGCATGATATATATATATATATATTTGGCACAGCCAAACTGACTCCAGACTTCTGACTTCCAAAATTCTAAAAGATTTTTTTTCGGTCATGGGTTTTATAGCCCTGATATCAGTCACACATACATTTATAATATTGATGTCTTCCTGAAAAACTGGCCCCTTTATCATAATAAAATGACCTTATTTATCTTTTAAAATTCTGTTTGTCTTGATGGCTAGTTTTGGTGATGTCTGTGTTATTCTTCCTATGCTTACTGTTTTCATAGTATATAATTTCCCATCCATTTATTTTCAAACTATTTGTGATTTTATCTTAAAAATAAGTTCTTTTTTTTCTATCTCTTTATATGAGATACTCAGTGGTTATTGTAAGGATAGCAGTGCACATCCTTAATCTTTTACAGTCTATTTGGAGATACTATTCTACCACTTCACAGCAAATGAAGAAAAATAGCAACTGTATAGGTAGCTTTTATACATTCCCTTACCATCCCTCCTGTTAAAATTGTTATATGTTTTACTTCTACATCAATTTAAAACTCAACGAAATAATGTTATAATCATGGTTTAAAGAGTCCTATAGATTTAAATAAATTAAGAGAAAATATTTTATATTTACTCAAACATTTTCTATTCTTGATATTGCTTATTTTTTTCTTTGGGATTATTTTCCTTTACTCTGAAGAACTTTCTTTAGCACTTCTTATAGTGCAGATCTTTAAGAAAATAATTCTTTTTGTTTTCCTTTATCTGAAAATATTTTATTACATCTTTATCATTGAAGGATATTTACACTTGATATAGAATGATGGATTGATATATTTTCTCCTCCTCCCATCCCAGCACTTTAAAGAAGTTTTCACTACGTTCTAGTTATCCTTAATCTTTTACAGGACCATTTAATCTTTTAAAGTCTTATTTTTCTGTGGATGCTTTCAATAGTTTCTCATTTACTATGGTTTTCAACAGCTGGGCTCTGATGTATCTAGTTATAGCTTTCATTGTATTTACTGTATTTGAGGTTTACTGGTCTTCTATAATGTATAGTATTCTACCCAATTTGAAAAGTTTCCATCCATTAGTTATACATATTTTAATTAATCAACCTTATTTTAGAGTAGTTTTAGTTTCACAGCAAAATTGAGTGGAGAGTACAAAGAATTTCTATATACCTTGCTGTCCTCAAATGCTCCACTCTTAACATCTCACACCACAGTGGTTATAATTATACTATATTTCTTATAACCGACGAACCTACATCAATACATCATTATCATCCCAAGGCCATAGATCACATTAAGGTTCATTCTTAGTGTTACATACGTGATAGGTTTGAAAAATGTATCATGGCCTGTATCTACAATCGTAGTATTAGACAGAATAGTTTCACTCCCCTAAAAATCCTATTTTCTGCCTATTTATCCCTCCTTCTTCCACAAATGCTGGCAATTACTGTTTCAACTGTTTCCCTAGTTTTGCCTTTTCCAGAATATCATATCATTGGACTTACACAATAGATAGCCTTTTCTAATTGGTTTCTTTAACTTAGTAATATCCATTTCAGGTTCCTCTATGTCCTTTCATGACTTTATAGCTATTTATTTTTGGCACTGAATAGTACCCCACTGACTGAGTATACCCCAGGTTATTTATCCATTAAGCTACTTTCAACATCTGTAGGCAGGTTTTTGTGTGCATACGTTTTCGATTTATCTGAGTTAAAAACAAGAAATGTGATTGCTGGATCATATGATAAGAGTATATTTAGTTTTGAAAGAGACTGCTAAACTGTCTCTACCATTTTGCACTACCACCAGCAAAGAGTGAGAGTTCCTTGTGCTCCAAAACCTTATGAAAATTTGGTGTTGTGAATGCTTGAAGCTTTGTTTCCCTTTTGATTAAAAATAGCTTATATAAATCATTTCTGTCTTCTGCAGTTCAGTATAAGCAACCAAGAGAAGCCATGGTACTCCTTCAGCACTTTGCTTAGACATTTCTTTAGCTAACCATCCTGTTTCATCACTCATTAAGTTTTAACTTCCACAAAACACTAGGACATAAACATAAGTCAGCCAAATTCTTCGCCACTTAATAATAAGCATTACGTTTCCTCCATTATACGTCCCTTATTCCTATAGGAGATCTCATCGTAATAGCATTTACCATCGATATTTTTACCAACATTCGGTTCAAAACCACTTACATATTCTTTAAGAAGATTGAGGCTTTCTATACATCTCTCCTCTTCTGAGTACTCACCAGAATCACCTTTAATGACCTATTGAGAAATGTAGGCTTTTTCTAGCATGCACCTCGAAACACTCCCAAGCCTCTATCTGTTACCCAGTTCCAATGCCACTTCCACATTTTAGGTATTTATTGCAGCAGTACACCCACTCCTCGGTACCAATTTTTATCTTAATTAATTTGGGCTGCTATAACAAGATGTCATAAACTAGGTAGCTTATAAACAACAGGACCTTCTTTCTCACAATTCTGGAGACTGAGTTCAAGATCAGGGTGCCAGGATGGTTGGGGTCTAGAAATTTTGCATAACAATTTGGATAAATATAAAACAGAGGGTTCTTTTTTGTTGTTTTCCTTCTATGTCTTTAATTGGAAGGCATATTAATATGGAATACCAAGGTCCATAGAGTGGTTCAAAGATAAAAACAGACATCTCCAGTGGGGATGTAATGGTTGAATATAAAGCAGGGCTTGATCATCTGAAGTTATCAGCTCAGGCAACTTGGCTTATTCAGGAAAGATACTTCATTATTTTTTTCATAAATATCTGGAAGGAATTTTACTGAGAGCTTCCTTTAGAAATATAAACCCATTTGGCCGGGTGTGGTGGCTCACGCCTGTAATCCCAGCACTTTGGGAGGCCGAGGCGGGAGGATCATGAGGTCAGGAGATTGAGACCATCCTGGCTAACATGGTGAAACCCCATCTCTACTAAAAATAAAAAAAGTAGCCAGGCATGGTGGCGGGCGCCTGTAGTCCCAGCCACTCGGGAGGCTGAGGCAGGAGGATGGCATGAACCAGAGAGGCGGAGCTTGCAGTGAGCCGAGATCGTGCCACTGCACTCCAGCCTGGGTGACAGAGCGAGACTCCGTCTCAAAAAAAAAAACAAAAAAAAAGAAATATAAACCCATTTAATCATTTTATTTAAAATTCCTTCAGAAATTGAAACCTACTTGGTGATGATTAATGTCATAAAGTTTTTGTAATCAACAAAGATAAAAGTGCAGAGCAATTTCTGAATTCACAAATGTCTTACTAATGAAAAAGTTAAAAAGAACAAATAGGATGGCAAATACCCTCTAGTAAAGATTCTACTTGTTCCATGTTATCTTATTGTACAAAAATTTTCCTATTTGATTTCCATTGTTTAAGATGACCCATCCCAAATGTTAATGTGGGGTTTAAGGCAATTCACAAATAATTTGAAACAAAGCTAGATAATTATGCATGTAATTTAAGAATCTTTAAGAAAACTCCAGTAGCAATTACCCTCCACGCTTTATGATTTAAAATCTGGTGATTTCTTTCTAATATTTTGTCTAACTTATTTTACCAGCGGGCTTTTCTCTTGATTCAATTTGAGTAAAACATGTTGCAATTTTCTTCTCTAGTATTTTAAAAGCTATATTTGTTTATAACCCAGTTTTCAGGTTAAGTGATGCTTACAGGTTACAGGAAGGTATGAATCAATTAAAAAAATGGAATTAACCAGTTTACAACAGAATAGCTAGAAATTAAGAAAGATAAATTGAAATTAATTTCTTAGTTAAAATTTGGCCATTTCTACTAATTTATAAATCTGTATTATTCCTTCCTTTCTCTTCATTGTCCTTTTCAAACATTTTCTAGAAATGAGAGGGTAGATGAATGAAAATAACACTCAGGAGGGCTTTATTCCTATTTATAAATGAGAAAGCAGGCACCTAGAATTACATAGCAATATATATCATAATTGTATACTTTAAATATTTGTTCATATTTCATCATAAATTTAGATTTAAACATCTAGTATTTTAACATGATTTTTATTGATGTGTAAGTTACAGACATTTAAAGAAAATTAATGCATAAATGGCAAGGTTTTAATCTATATGAAAACAATAACTTTTATCTATTGATCATTGAATAAATTCTAGGCACTTTAAATTTGCTACTTGTTTTTACTCTCACAGCCAACCTTTATGCCAGGCTTTATTTTTACAAAAGCATAAATTAACATTCAGAGATATTAAATAGCTTTAAAGTAACATGATTTATAAGCACTAGAGTTAGGATCAAAACCCAGGTATGCTTGACTCCAAATTCTGCATATTTCCTACCATATACTGCCATTGCATTTTTTCGTAAGTAAAGTATTATCAGAGCCCAGAATCAAGTATACCCTAGACAGAAATTCTATTTAAAAGGAACATTTTATTCTGGTTCATATGGGCTGAGTACACTTTGGAGGCTTAAATTCCCAACACAAATATCTAGAAATGTCAGAAAATATATTTGGGATATAAATCTATTATCATGCTGAGAAACAAGAATGGTAGCTCTAGGAAAAGCATTAAATATAATAAATCTTTAAAAGTCAGAAAAGAACTAAGATCATATTAATGAAAGAAATGGCACACAAAATCACAAGAGACGGCTGCTGCAAAAATTGAACATCTGCTCTAAGACAGGAGAACCAGGTAATGCAAGAGGCCCACGGGAAAATGACAAGGTGATTACTTGAAAACAATACATTAGGGGATGCTTAGCTATGTAACACCCATCCCAATATTCTACACAAATCCAAGAAGTCTATCCTGGCCTTTTGCTGTTCTTTCCGAGTACCATTTCCTAAAGTATTCCACAAACCTCTCACAAGAAGACTGCAAAAGCAGATATAGCAGAGACCCTCCCCCACCAAAAAATATGTCAAATAATGAAGAATTACCAAATATGTGAAGACAATCAACAGCATGTGGGAGAGGAATCAAGCTCAACTTACACAATACAAAATACACCTGAGAAAAACCTTTACTAAAACAAGCACAATAGAAGCAGGTGAAATTCCAATCAATGAACTGATCATTGAGTGAGTAGTAAATCTCAAGAAAAAACATGCACACACACACACACACACACACACACACACACACACACACACACAAAAATTAATTTCCAGCGTAAGAAATTGAGGGACTCCGCTGACCAGTGAAATCATGAAAAACATTTTCCAAAACAATAATTTAAAGCCACTGGAAATGGTCCTAGGAGAAAACTGCAAATGAAGAAATACCTATTCAAGAAAATATATAAAAATTGGGCAAGAAATGTGAGAATATGTGGTATTTAAACCAAAACTGCTTCTTCCCTCTCTCCTCTCAAATCATCAAGATAGAAATTCCATTCCAAAATTCTATAGGCCGAAACTTTTCTCCCAAACTCCCAGCCAGATGGCTTTCTTCCCAAAAGAAATAAGACTTCAGCATTTTGCATCCTGCCCGCATATGCCTGTTGCTGAGGCTAAGTCTCAGATGTGTGAAACTGAGAAGTAAAGGCTCATTTTTTTTTTATTACTCCAGATCCCACTACCTTGCCTGGTTTGAGGCAACTTCTGTTCTGTTTACCTTTTAAAATGAAAGAATATGCAATATACAAGACACCTTGGTATACTATCAAGAGACTCAATGGCATCCTTATAAATGCAAATCTATATTCTTAGTATAATATAAATCATGGAACTAAATTTATCAACAAGTAGAACTAGCTTGATTTTCAAAATTGACAGCTGAAGCTCGCTTGACAGCTATCTATTCTGCTCCATGAGTCTACGTGTCTCTTTTTGTACCAGTACCATGCTGTTTTGAATGCCATAGCGGGTAGTATAGTTTGAAGTCAGATAATGTATGCCTCCAGCTCTGTTATTTTTGCTTAGGATTACCTTGGCTATTCAGCATTTTTTTTTGGTTCCATATGAATTTTAGATTTGCTTTTATTCTAATTCTGTGAAAAATGATGTTGATATTTTGATAGGAATTGCATTGAATCTGTAGATTGCTTTGGGCAATATGGCCACACAAAAAACAGTGAGGGAAGGGCATCCTATTCAATGAATGGTGCTGGGAAAAATAACTAGCCATGTGAAAAACAATGAAACTGGACCTCTACCTCTCACCATATACAAAAATTCACTCAAAATGGATTGAAAACTTAAATATAAGACCTCAAACTATCAAAACTCTAGAAGAAAAACTAGGAAAAACTCTTCTGGACATTGGTTTAGGCAAAGAATTTATTACTAAGAGCTCAAAAGTAAATGCAATAAAAACAAAAACTGACAATTGAGACTTAATTAAACCAAAGAGTTTCTCCACAGGAAAAAATAACAATAATGTACAGGGTAAACAGACGACCTACAGAATGCGAGAAAATATTTGCAAACTATGCATCCATCAAAGAACTAATATCCAGAATCTGTAAGAAATTTGGGCAAAACAACAAGATAAAAGCAAATAACACAATCAAAAAGTAGACAAAGAATATGAACAAAGAATTCTCAAGACAGAATACACAAGCAAAAAATAAACAATATGAAAAAATGCTCAATATCACAAATCATCTGAGAAATGCGAATTGAAACCACAGTGAGATACGATCTCACACCAGTCGACTGGCTATTACTAAAAAGTCAAAAATTATCAGATGTTGGCAAGGATGTGGTGAAGAGGGAACACTTATAGACTGTTGGTGGGAATGTAAATTAGTACAACCTCTGTGGAAAACACTATGGAGATTTCTCAAAGAACTAAAAGTAGAACTATCATTTGACCCAGCAATCCCAATGTTGGGTATTCATCCAAAGGAAAAGAAAATGTTCCAGCAAAAAGACATGTACATTTGTATGTTTATCACAGCTCTACTCACAATAGCAAATTCATAGAATCAACCTAAGTACACCTCAATGTTGGACTGGATAAAGAAAATGTGCTGCGTATACATCATGGAATACTACATAGCCATAAAAAAGAATAAAATTATGTCCTTCGCGGCAATATGAATGGAGCTAGAGGCATTATCCTAAGTGAAATAACTCAGAAACAGAAAATCAAACACCACATATTCTCACTTATAAGTAGGAGGTAAATAACGTGTACACATGGACATAAAGTTGAGAACAATAGACATTGGGGACTTCAGAAGGAGGAGGGATGGAGGGACCAAGGGTTGAAAACTACCTATTGGGCACTACACTCACTATTTTGGGTAATGGAGTCAATAGAAGCCCAAACTTCAGCATTGCAAAATATATCCATGTAACACACCTGCACATGTATCTCTTGAATCTAAAATAAATAAATATAAAATGGAAAGTTATAAAATTGAGGTTGCGAACAATTAGATAAAAATTACAATTAGGAACTATAAACTACTAGGATAAATTTATCAACAAATGGTACTAGGTTGACTCAGGAAATCATACAATTACATTTTTGACAAAGAAATAACATAATTGCCATCTCTCATGAGAAGCCAAAAGCTATCACTTATTTCTGAGGCTATTTCACTGTGTTTTGGTATAATCACCATCGTTACATTTGTATAGTAGCTTAGTAGTAACTGAAATAGTAACCTTATTGGTAATATTAGGCCAGCACACATACTAGATTCAGAATTATAAAACACAATGTAACATCTGGCTCCCCAAACATGTTACACTTTGGTTCTTTATAGTGTAAAATGACAGCATCATCTGTTTCAGTTGAATGAGATTTTATATAACAATAAAAATAACAAAAATAATTTTTAAAAACAGAAATTGATTTTATTCTTAAATAGAATCCTGAGATCTCAGGCAACAGCTATTATCATAGGTCCATCAAATCATGGAGAAAAAAGGTGGCTGGGATCCAGGATAGCTACATCATATGAAACTATCATGTCTACATCGAAGCCAGAAGGAAAAAGAAAAACACAGGAAATACAGGGGCAAATGAACGTACGAGCAATCTTCTAATTTGTTTGCCAAGAAACTGCTGCATAGCACTTCTGCCTTAATCTCACTGGCAAAAACTGAGTCATCACAAAGCAAGAATGACTGAGAAACATGGCCTTATTATGGGCAGCCATTAGTCTAGTTAAAAATGAGGTGGTTTATTACTAAAAAGAAAACTGATAGAACAGATAATGGGATAGAAAATTACCACTCTTTTCTGAGCCACCGAATATCAGTATCCTACGTCAGGCCCTCATATTTCTCAATACCAATTGGGTATCTCTGATTTCAGACTCTTTCACCAATTTTTCAAATCACTAGTGAGTACACATGACCGCGCGCGCACATACACACACACGTGCGTGCGTGCATCTCCTTTGCTTCATGCATTTCTCAGATTGTCTTGGCCCCAGCTCATGAAAACCGTGTCCATTAATGTCTGTGTCTTGTAGCCTCGGAAACTTCCTCAATTTTTGAAGCAAATAAGGTAAGAGATCTTGTATTATATAATAGACTAAAAGTATGCTTAGGGAACCAGAAAAATAGAGAATACACACAAACATACACACACATAACTAGGAAAGTCAGCATTCATGTAAGATATTATTTCAAAAAAAGGATAATTTAATGTTATGTTTTTTTTGAATTAGGTATGGTGAAAGCATCATAATCCTTTCAGTGTTTAGGGATTCTAGTGTTAATCCTGGTCCCAGTTAACTATTTATTTACCATGGTCTTAAAGTCTAAGTCACTGGCTATGACGGCAAATATTGTATGTCAACTCGGCTGGGCTATGGTACCCAGATATTTGATCAAACATTATTTTGAATATTTCTGTGATGGTGGTTTTTGGATGAAATTAACATTTAAGTTAGTATACCCTGGGTAGGGCAGACTGCCCTCCATAATGTGGATAAAGGCTCATTCAATCAGCTGAAGGCCTTGATAAAAAAAGACTGATCTTTCTGGAAGAAGAAGGACTTAAGACTGTAAATCTTCACTGGGTCTCCAGCCTCCTGACCCACCCTGCAGATTTTGGACTTCCCAAGCCTCCACAATAATGAAAACTAATTTCTTAAAATGAAACAATCTCTCTCTCTCTGTCTCTGTCTCTCTCTCTCTCATGGGTGTGTGTGTGTGTGTGTGTGTGTGTGTGTGTGTGTGTGTGTATACTGTTGGTTCTGATTTTCTAGAGAACTCCTGACAAATACACTGCCACAGACTCAGAAATGAGCAGACCAGCAGACCTGGGAACTAGTTGCCCAGTTGTAATGAGTAATTTCTGATTTTTTCTCCAGATCTTCCTCACTTGATAAGTAAACCTTGGATCTGATTTCCATAGAGACCATTAGTGAATGCCCATTGTTACCAAATAACTATTCTTCACTGGTCTCACCAACCTTTTTCCCATTTCCAATTTCGTGTCATTCCTTATGATGGAATTTTGTTTGGTCTTAACTCCTTTGTTGTGATTCCGAGAATGGCCCTTGTCCTGTGCCCAACTTAGCACCTGTCAACTTTTGACCATGGTTTAATCCCCTGAATGTCAAACTTCCCAAACAATTGGAAATTCCAGTGCCAACTACTATCTAAATATTTATCTGTTTGTCAGATTTTCATATATGTGTTTCCTAGGCCTAGTTTATTTCTTGGAAACTCCTTTTGTTGCTGGCTCGATTTCCCAGGTAAGGGCTTAGCTCTTACCCTATAAGGAACTTCTGCTATTCATGAAAGAATCTGAAAGTTCGACCTTCCTAATAAATAATTTATACCTGTATAAACAAAGCAGTCCCTTCAAGAAGCTCCAAAGTTTGTTCTCCTTGTAAGAAAAAATGTTTTGGCCTCACATAAAAAGGCCTCAAAGGTAGGCCCGAAGTGAGTCAGTGGTAGAATCAGGAACAAAACTCCAAATACCTGATTCAATTTTGCATGACCTCACAAAATCAGTGACATTTCCCTAAAGAGCTTAGCAGCAGCTAATAAATCTTCTGGAAACATTAGACAGTTTTTATTAAACAACATTCTGACTAGGAATAAACATATGATAAATATGGATTGGGTTTCTTTTATTATTTATCAACTTCAAATTTAAATGGTGAGTTCCTCTCTACCTACTTTTTACCTTGACCTAAGGACAGAATGTTAGCATGACCTCAGATGTTTAATAAACCCAAAATATAAACTCATTTAAAAATAGTACATATGAAACTTCTGAAACAAAGCTGAATAATTGAGCACAGGAAGTGGCTTCCAAAGTCATTGAAGTAGAAGTTCACTCACAGTACCTGTCTAGTTAGCCTTTTTAATTCTTATTCTTTTGCCCATGCTTTTGGTTTTTTGACAAATTCCTAACCCATAACAAAGGAGGTGTCAGCATTCTTTCCAGTGGATTACTTTTATTTCCTAAATATGTCATTCTCTCTTAACTCTAGGTCTTCATAAATTTCTTCTACTTCTTGAAATATTTATCCTCACCCTGGCTAACTTCAAACTTATAGCTATCCTTTTTTCTGAAAAGCCTTTGCTGTAACTCCAGGCAGGGTGAGGTGACCAGTCTCCAGGTTCTCATAGCATGCTAAGTTTACTTATATCAGTACTTGCCACACTGAACTGTAATTGCTTATTTGCCTGCTTTCTCCATTAGCTGTGAGTTCCTTAAATGTAAGAATTGCATCTATTTTGTTAAGCAATTCTATGCCTCATTTATTTGGGGGAAGACCTAGGTAATAGCTTTCTATATATTTGTGTCTTAACCTGACTGAGTTCCTCTGTATATGATTGCATTAGTAAGCATTAACTAAATTGTAGCTAGGTAGAAGATGGATGGGCAGATGAATGGATGGATAGATGGATGGATGGAAAGATTTACATAAAGGAAATAGGTTCAGGTCTGGGCATTAAACATAGAAATGATGGAATCATGATCCAAGGCAGTGTTCAGATCCAATGACTCAGGAGGATGGGCATCTTTCAGGCACCAAATTCAATGCAAGTATGGAATGCCCAGCAAATACAAACAAGCAACAATTCCATGAGCCAGGGCTACAGTCCTTGGTGTTAGACATACTGTCATTTTCCATAAGCTTTTGCTCAGTCTTTGTCTTCTGCCTGAAATTCTAATGGAATTCTTTTAGTCTTGGAAAAACCTTTATACATGGTTCCAAGGAGACACGTTTTTCACTTCTCCTTCATTTCCCCTAATTTTCTTCAAATGAAGTACTCCTTCCTTTGCCCTCCCATAGATTCAAAAACTACCCATCTGACAAGGAATTAATAACCAGAATTTATAAGGAACTCAAACAATTCTATAGAAAAAAATCTAATAATCTCATATTTAAAATAGGCAAAAGATCTGAATAGACATTCTCCAATGAAGACATACAATGGCAAACAGGCATTTTTGCCATTTGCCAAATGGTGCTCAGTTAAAAGGTGCTCAGTATCATTAATAATCAAATAAATGCAAATAAAAACTACAAGATATCATGTCACCCCAATTAAAATACTTTATATCCGAAAGAAAGACAATAACAAATGTTGGTGAGGATGTGGGAAAAAATGGGAATCATCGTAGGCTGTCGGTGGGAATGTAAATTAGTAAAATCACTATGGAGAACAGTATGGAGGCTCCTTAAAAACAAAACATAGAGCTACAATATGATCCAGCAATCCCACTGCTAGGTATATACCCACAAGAAACAAAATCAGTATATCAAAGAAATATCTGCACTCCCATGTTTGTTGCAACACTGTTCACAATAGCCAAGATTTGAAAACAATGTAAGTGCTCATCAACAGATGAATGGATAAAGAAAATGTGGTACATATACACAATGGAGTACTAGTCAGCCGTAAAAAAAGAATGAAATCCAGTCATTTGCAACCACATGAATGGAACTGGAGATTATTATGTTAAGTGAAATAAGCCAGGCACAGAAAGACAAAACATCACATGTTCTCATATATTTGTGAAATCTAAAAATCAGAACACTTGAACTCATGGGCATAGAGAGTAGAAGGATGGCTACCAGAGGCTGGGCAGGGTAGTGGGGGTTAGTGGAGAGGTGGGGATGGTTAATGGGTACAAAAATATTAATTCATTTTTAAATAACATCTTAAAAATAGAAGTTAACATTCAAATCAGGAACAAGAGAACAGCCTCCCCAAAAGGGGAAGGAAGGAAACAAAGATGTTAATGAATAGCAAATTGTAAACACATTTGAAAAAATCAGAAAAAAATGAATATTTTTCTAAAGATGTCTAAACCACCAAAATTAACTCAGGAAGAAGTAGAAAGGTCTATAAACTAGCCACCATTTCAAAAACTGGATCAGCACTCACAATTATTTTCTTCAAAAATACATTATTGAACATTATATTAGAATTACCAGAATTCAATCCATTTCTCCCAGCACACACACACAAACACACACAAATACAGCATTAATCAGCAGCTATTTAGTTTGGGGAATTGTCTTCATCTCTAAGAATGAGTACTGTTTAATTAAAGCTTATCATGGTAATCCCATCCCCTTACCAATGATTGCATTCAGGGGGGTTGGCCTATGATGATTAGAGCCAATGAGAGGTGAAAACATTTTGCAAGACAGTTCTGGGAAAGAGACTTTCTGGCTTTTGAGACAGTTTCAGAAAGCCACCTCTCTGAGAGGTGGTTTCAAGTACTCCCATATGCCTGCTTTAACTACGAGAAAATATATATTTTATATATATATATATGTGTATATATATACACACACACACATATATATATAAAATATATAAATACAATAAATACTGGTAAGTATTAAGAAAAGAACCAGATACAAATTGTGGATTTGAAAGGTAAAATGACAGAAATGAAAAATCCACTATATATATCGTCTCAACAGCCAAATTGAGATGGCAGAAGAAAAAAATCAGTTTATTGTTATAACACTGATTGATGCGAACTATCAAATGGCACTGGATGGTAACGTGAATACACAGAAGGAAATGAAGAGTGCCACAAGTGATAAATATGTGGGTATGTATGGAAAGTAGTCTAAGATGACTTCCAGGATTCTTTTATGAGGATGCCAGAAAGGGAATATGGGGAAAGAAGCAAGTTAGGGCAGATTGGAGGGATGAGCACAGTTTGTATACGCTGAATTTGATATTTGAGGTTTATATAGAACAACCCAGCAGAGATGTTCACTAAGTGATTAGAAATGAGAGAAGCCAAAGAAGCCAGAAAAGTTCTGAATAGTGCCAGGAAATCCAAAGAGGCATACAAAAGCAGAGAAATTAAATGTTGTAAAAATCATAGACAATCTCCACAGTACATATAGTGTGAAGATACAGAAAGCATAGGGTGACTGGAAATGGTTTAGGGTCCTCAGTCTGAAAAGTCAAAGAGAAATCTATAAAGGAATGACAATTTAAATAAAAAAAAAGTTGGAGACATCTTTTTCATGAAAATCCACATATTAATCTAATATTAGCACCAGGGATATTCTGAAAGGAGGCCATTTTGTAGATAAAACAGGAAAGTGCTATTTTGCACTGGAGGTGTCGGGAGTAAAGAATTTTCACAAGCTAAAAATGTAAAAAAATGTTTTGCAAAGATTTACATCATTTCACTCATGTAAGATGTAAAATAGCTAAATAAAGAGATTCAAACTCAGCTCCTAACCTTATAAGGACAACTGGCAACTTCTTCACAGACAAAATCTTTTCATGCTGTCAGAAGAGTCAGCTGGACAATTGAGCAGAACTAACACTTCATGCCTTATACTTTCTGACTTCCTGAAGCTGAAAATTGGCAGCAGTGCTGAATAGATAGAATCTGACATTCACTATAAACTCATAGGTCAAGCATAAGTTATTAAAATAGATATACAGAGGAAATGTGATCAGATTTTACTGTTTATAATCATCTGCGCTTCGGAGTAGATTGTAAGGATTTTCTATACTTACTCATTTAATGAGTATTAAGTATTTGAGTAGTGGAGTATTTTTGCACAAAAAATGTTTATTGTATTATGTCACACTGTCTGATTTGAAACAAAAATAATTACAAGTTAGAAGATGATACACAGAATTGCAGAGTTGGAAGAGACTTTAAAGATAATTGAGTTTTTTGTTTTTTGTTTTTTGTTTTTTTTTTTTTTTTACTAAAACTGGGAAAGCCTTTGATATGGTTAGGCTTTGTGTCCCCACCCAAATCTCATATTGAATTGTAATTCCCATAATCCCCATAATCCCCACGTGTCAAAGGAGAGACCAGATGGAGGTAATAGAATCAAGGGAGTGGTTTCCACCATGCTGTTCTAGTGATACTGAGTGAGTTCTCACAAGATCGGATGGTTTCATAAGGGTCTCTTCCCCCTTCACTCAGCACTTCTCCTTCCTGATGCTTTGTGAAAACTTTGCCTTGCTTCCCCTTCACCTTCCACCATGATTGTAAGTTTCCTGAGGCCTCCCCAGCCATGCTGAACTGTCAGTCAATTAAGCCCCTTTCTTTTAAAAATTACCCAGTCTCGGGCAGTTCCTGATAGCAGTATGAAAACAGACTAATACAGCCTTCTTACCTCAGTCCCACACATAAGCATTCAGCTCAGCTGGAAATACTTCATTGACAGAGACAAAATAATGTCCTATGAGCTGAGCACTGTGCTAGGTGCTGCACACACTATGTCACATAGTTTCACAGTATGACTCTAGGAGTTAGGTTATTTTACAGATAAGGAAACTGAGAAACAGAAATTCTAAACAACTTGTCTAAATTCACAAAGTTAGTAAGTGATGGGGCCCAGATGTAATAGCAGCTTTCTACCTGACTTCAAATCCCATATTTTGTCTAATTAAAAAAGAAAAAAAAGCTCAGCATTCTGACATTTTAACTCACAACTTCATGAGATAATGCTAATTATTATTTTTTTAAGTTTCTAATTTTATCTGAAAATTAACACCTTTTATTTACAAAATATTCATCCAGATGGAAACATAACATTTCTAAAGAGCATCGTCATGTCATCTACAAGTCTTCATGTTGATCGTCCTCAGTTACTTTTACAGGTCTTCACCTAACAGTACACAGGCTTTGAGCATTTTGATGGCCTCTGCATAAACTCTAATTTGTGAATGACCAAATTCAAATAACAAAGCGGTCACTTACCAAGCTTTGGTCTTCACAAGAGCAACTCTTTTCTCATGAGCTCCATCTGCTGCATATGGACTTAGCACCATGCTTCAGGAACAAGCTCTCTAGAGAATGACAGGATAGGTGTTGAAAGAAGTCAGGGACCCTGAACGGAGGGACCAGCTGAAGCCATGGCAGAAGAACATCAATTGTGAAGATTTCACGGACATTTAACACTTCCGCAATCAATACTCTTGTGATTTCCTGTGTCTGTCTTTGCTTTAATCTCTTAATCCTGTCATCTTCATAAACTGAGGATGTATGTCGCCTCAGGACCCTGTGATGATTGCATTAACTGCACAAATTGTTTGTAGAGCACGTGTGTTTGAACAATATGAAATCTGGGCACCTTAAGAGCAGGATAACAGTGATTTTCAGGGAACAAGGGAGATAACCTTAAAGTCTGGCTGCCTGTGGGCCAAGCAGGACAGAGCCATATTTCTCTTATTACCGAAAATGGGTAAGAGAAATATCGCTGAATTCTTTCCCCAATAAGGAATATTAATAATTAACAGCCCTGGGAAAAGAATGCATTATCAGGGCAGGGCCTCTAAAATGGCCACCCTGGGAATGTCTGCCTTATGCAGATGTAGATAGGAATGAAACAGGCCCTAGTCTCCTGCAGCACCCCCAGGCTTGCCAGGATTAGGAAATTCCAGCCTGGCGAATTCTAGTCAGACTGGTTCTCTGCTCTTGAACCCCGACAACGCGTGCACAGAGGGACATGGAAGTTCAATAGTGATTCTAGTTTCGCCCTGACCTTCTGCCTTGTGATTTTTTTGTCACCCTTGAAGCATGTGATCTCTGTGATCCACACCCTATTCGTACACTCCCTCACCTCTGAAAATTGCTAATAAAAACTTGCTGGCTTTACAGCTCAGGGGGCATCACAGAACCTGCCGACATGTGATGTCTCCCCCCGGACACCCAGCTTTAAAATTTCTCTCTTTTGTACTCTGTCCCTTTATTTCTCAGACCGGCTGACACTTGGGGAAATAGAAAAGAACCCACATTGAATTATCAGGGGTGGGTTCCTCCGATATCGGTAGGGTCTTAGAAGCCTCACTTAAAGTTGCACATGAATACATTTCAAAAGGGCGATGGTTATGGGAATTTAACTTTACTCTGTAATATAGTGTTACATCCTTTTGCTTAGAGCAAAAACACTGTACACATATCCTGTACTGTAGAGATTAGGTCAATGAGAGATTTTAGAAGCAGCTTCACAGGTTTCAGAAGTCCATCCAACTGTCACATTCTTAATACAAATAAGTTCAGCATTCAAAGCACAGACCAGAACCTCTTTATCTTCCCTGTCACTACACTACTACTGTCTAATAGGATATTATGACACATCCTGAGAGAACTTGAACTATACAAAATACAAATTGCACTTTTCTTTGCTAATTTGTCACTGGAGGGGCATGTTGAAGAGAGAATAAAGACACACGACCATGCATATTTGAACCTAAATATTGAGAAATACTAGTGATCCACAACTTATGCAAATTTAACAAAATTAGAACATGAAAAACAATGTATTAAGTTAATATTATAGGATTTATTTTTATTGTAGTGTTCCTTCAAGAATTAATAAGCAAGCTAAGGTTGGTTTTCCTGAAGGATGAAGCACAAAAAAAATTAACTCGATGTCATACCTAGAAATACAAATTTGGCCCAAAGGCATAACAGTTTCCTTTACTGTCAAGTGTTACTAATCTCGAATGTCCAACATTTCAGTGGATTTTCTATGGGCTTTTTGTGAACTGGTGCAAATTCTACAAGACACAAGACTGGTCTTTCAATAATATATTCAAATGTACTCTTTTAAAATAATAAATATTCTCTCTTTCTCATCTCTCTCTGTCTCTCTGTCTCTTCTTATCTGTATCTGTATATGTGTAGATACACATACACACATACACTATATACATACATACACACGTATACACAATCCTACACAATTCTTGGATGTTCAAAAGTCACTTTCATACCCAGTCTCCCATTTATCATTGCAAAGTGCTTGCAAAATACTTAGAAACACTTAAAATAGCTTTAATCTATGCTAACTTAGAAAAGTACTCAGCAGCCTCTGTCATTCCAGAAGAGGCTGGAGGCTTATTCGTTACTTTACATAGATTTTACAATGTCCAGAACAGAATATTTTTGTGGAAATATACAAGCTGATTCTTAAATTCATATGAAAATGTGAAGGGTCTAGAGCAGCCTAAATAAAATTTTAAAGGGAGGGCAAATTGAAGGGCTACTCTGCCTGATTTCAAGCATTATCATGGGCACCAAGATGGTGTATTAGTGATGTAAGGATAAATAAGTAGTTTAAATGAACGGAATAGAAAGTTTAAAAATAATCCTACACATATGTGTTCAATAGATAAATTCAACTAAAGTACCAATGGAAAATGCTGGGCTTTTCAATAACTGTTGCTGGAACAACTTCATTTGTAATTAAGAAAATGCAATTAAATGCCACCATGGGCTACCAGTACACCCTCACTAAAATTAAAACACTAACAGAACTAGATATTGATGAAGACGTACAGTGATGAGAATTCTCATACACTGTTGGGGTAGCATAAAATGGTATAACCAATTTTAAAAGATCTATCATTTTCTTAAAAGAACTATCGTAAGGACAAAAAACCAAACACCACATGTTCTCACTCATAGGTGGGAATTGAACAATGAGAACACATGGACACAGGAAGGGGAACATCACACACCGGGGCCTGTTGTGGGGTGGGGGGAGGGGGGAGGGATAGCATTAAGAGATATACCTAATGTTAAATGACGAGTTAATGGGTGCAGCACACCAACATGGCACATGTATACATATGTAACTAACCTGCACGTTGTGCACATGTACCCTAAAACTTAAAGTATAATACAAAAAAGAAAAAAAAAGATAACAAAAAAAAAAGATTACACATGCTTCCCCATGAACCAGCAATTTCACTCCTAAGTATTTATCCAAGAGACAAGAAATTTAAGTCTATACGGAGCATTGTACATAAATGTTAATGTCAGCTTTCTTTGTAATATTTGACCACTGGAAACGACCAAAGTAGTACCAACAGATGAGTAGAAAAAAAACCTGTTAAATATTCAAACAACACAAATAATGGAATACAGTAGTAGAAATAAATAAACTATTGATACACAATAACGTGAATGAATCTCAAAACTTTACACTGAGGGAAAAAAGCTAGTCACGGAGTATGACATATTGCATGACTGCATTTGTATGAAATCCTAAAAAAACCCAAATTATTCCATTGTGACAGAAAGCAAAGGCTCAAGAGGGAACTTTTTTTAGGCTGATGGAAATGTTCTATGTCACGATTGTGATGGTGGTTACACATTTGTATTGACAAATTTTATCGTAATGCACACTCAAAATGTTTGTACTGCATTTTATTCCAATTACACCCCCAATAAAATTAATAAAGAAAAAACACATTCGTGCAATACTGTTCTAAGATTTGAAAGTCCTTCGTTTATGGGCAATTTAAGATAAAAATAATAGCACCTTCTATTGCCTATGATTGAGGTACTAATATTGATTTAAAAGAAAAGCCTTGTAAATGCCACAACTAAAGCTCTCCTTTAGCATATTATTTTCTAATTTGACATTTTCTAAATGTTTCTGATTCATATATACACACACACACATATATATATACACACACATATATGTACATATATATATATCTCCTATGTTTGCAAAAACTTTTCAAGGAAATATAGATATATAGATAAATTGTGGGGGGAAATTAATGTAGAATTTGAGATGTATGCCAATCCTAGTATGGAGGATAATGAGAAGTGCTGTAAGCTAACGGTATTTACATAATTCTATTTCTAGCTCTCTTAAAGCAGAAATCTCTGTTCCCCATCAAAGGAGTAAGCAATGGTACTGATTTACTGCTGCCAACTGACATGAACAAGAAGTGAGCCTCAGGGGATCCAATTGAGACAGGTGAATGAAGAGTTTCTGGAGGTTTGATTAGAGTGATTAGGCTCTCCTAATTTTACTTAATTTCCTTATAAATAAAGTAGGAAAATTAGAATTCCCACCAAGGCTGTTGTGAAGGTCTGTGAAAAAACAGACTTCAGGGAATCTGTCTAATATTGTCCTTGTCTAATACTGTCTGCTGTGTGGTGGAGTCACTCAGCAAAGCATATGTCACTCCCATAGATTAGAAACCTGGGAAAGGCTTCTCTTATGGTGGAAAAATATATTTATTCTAACAGCTGCCAGCAAAATTCTTCTTAGGATAGTACATGTACTCATTGGGGGAAAAAAATTCATGCTACTTAATGGCAGGAGCCCAGATATCCAAAGACCTGGGTACAAATATAATGTAAGGATGGTGTTGTGAGACAGGCAGTAGGACCCAGCTCCACCACCAGGAAATGCTCCATGTGACTGTAACCTCACATCCTCAGGCAAATAAACAAGCAAACAAAAACATGCTGGGTGTTGGTAGATTTCATGGGGAAACTGATGAAAACATGAGTTGTATTCATAGTTTAGTGACAAAAATAAAGCTATCCTGCAGGGAGGAAGGCGTGTGAAAATAAGCCACTTGAAATTATAGGAAGGAGGGAATGGGCTTCTTACTCGCACTGGGCATTAAATTGAAGTTTGGGCCAAATTAAGCAGATTGCTGTGAAGTGGAATGTCCTAGCTGTTGTGATCAACATGTTAGTTACACTTATCTTTGAGGCAGTATACTGTAGGACAGTGTTACAAGTCTCTGTCTTGGAGTCAGACAAATCAAGTTCAAACAAAACAAATTTCAGCTATAGTTATTTTTTAACAGTTTATACTGGCTATGAGACCCCGAGCAGTTTGCTTAATTTCTCTGAGCATCATTTGTATAATAGCCAATGCAATGGTACCTTATGGAATTGTTTGGGGGATATTAATGACATATATTTATTTTTATATAAATATCAGTTATTATTATTAATAAATAATAATCTTCCTCTTGGTCTCCAACCCTAGGTGCAGTATATAACAATGACTTGCATATACTAGGTGTTAAATAATGTTTGCTGAATTTAAATTAAATAAATCTTATCTGGAATAAAGATTATTTATCATTAGAAAAAGAATAGGTAGAGGATCTGCAATTCACAAAGTGCCATTTCTTGGTGCTTCTTGGGTAAGACATTTATTATCTACTAATGTCTAAATACATGCCCACTCATAACACAGTGCTTTTCTTGGTCAAAAATTATCCGGGCACATCTTCTGAAAAAGATACAATTCGTAGTGCCAGACAATTGACTTTTCTCCATTTCTATCATCTCATCATGCTTCAAAAGGCCAACAACTGTGTGAATGTCATACATAACCTTTTCAACATAATAGCATCTTAAATATTTTAAAACATATGCAATATTCAAGACATACAAAAAGAAAGAATGAATAAACAGCCTATGGGAACTGACCCAGTTACTGAAGTAAGCCAATAGCATGAAAAGATAAATGGGAGGGAGGAACACCCTAGATTAAAAGGGGCTAGAGATCTAATAACTAAATATCAAGTGTGGACCGGATTTGAACAAATCAACTGAATAAAAGGGATTTTTGAGACAACTAGAGGAAGATTTTGTTTTTATAGGCTTCTGGTATACATGATACTAAGGAATTACTATTTTCTTAGTTAATAGTGATGATGGATTGCTGTTATGTTTTTTAAAAACCCATATTGTAAAACAGTTGCGGAACTATATGGATGAATCGTACATATGTCACATTGACCAGAAAAAGTTAAGCTGCAGAGGAACACTGATACGGTTTGGATTTGTGTTCCTACACAAAGCTCATGTTGCATCGTAATCCTCAATGCTGGAAGTGGGGCCGAGTTGGAAGTGATTGGATCTTGGGGCGGTTGCTAATAGTTTAGCACCATCTCCCCTTGGTACTGTATAGTAAGCGAGTTCTCAGGAGATGTGGTTGTTTAAAAGTGTATAGCACCTCCCCCTTCTCTCTCTTCTTCCTACTCTGGCCATGTAAGGAGTGCCTGCTTACCCTTCACCTTCCGCCATGATGGAAAGTTACCATGATGGAAAGTTTCCTGAGGCCTCACTAGCCATGCTACCTGTACTGTCTGCAGAATCATGAGCCAATTAAACCTATTTTCTTTATAAATTACCTAGTCTCAAGTAGTTCTCTATAGCAGTGTAAGAATGGGCTAATACAAACACATACAATTGCGTACTGTTGATATGAAGTTTAAAAACATGAAAAACAATATATTGATTAAAATACATAAATATGTAGTAAATATATAAAGAATGTAGAATGTATGTATGTAGAAATAAGATAACACATTGTTTCGGATTAAAAAATATGCTTTAGAAATATAAAGAAGAACAAAGATAGATGAAGTAAATATAACATTTTAATAATTGTTGAATACAAAAGATGAGTATAGGAGAGTTTATTTTACTAAAACCACTACTTGTGTGTATATTTGAAAAAAAATTATAATAGTACGTTTAATGAAATATAGCTATGAACACAACAAATACCTGTGTATCCAAAACCAGTTCAGGGGGAAAAAAAAAAAAACTTAATTCAATTAAGTTCCTTGCACCAATTACCTCCACCTTTTATAGAAGTGACTATTATACTAATTTTGGTGTTTATTATTCTCTTGTTACTTTTTATACACTTACTACATATTTGGGTATTTGTAATCAATATATTGATTAAACATCATATAAACAGTATCCAATTGTATGAGTTCTTCTGCAGCTTGACTTTTTCTGGTAGATGTGACGTATGTGTGATTCATCCACACAGCTCCAAAATAGTCTTCCAAAAATATCTTTCTCATTCTTTCCCGAGGCAAACTAAAATTTATATCAGCATTGCAATGCCTTGTATATGTCCATACTAGAGTGTCTGCTATCTTATCTTTATTCGTTAGAGGTCATGGAACTTCATTAAGCCATAGTTTTTGCCTGAATGGGGAGTTCTGTGTAAAGTAATTCCATCATTAATTAAAGGTTAACAGAATTTTGTTTCCTCCTAAACTCACTATTAGTCTCTTCTAAAACTTTTATTGATTACATTAGTTAGGATTTAGCTGTTAGCAAACACATTTTTACTACCTCAGCAAACAATTAAAATAAAACATACTGGCTGCATATTGATTTTGTTGTTGTTGTTATTTTAAGAGTTGATTTCTAATACCAAAAGTAAAGATCTTGTAATACCTGCACTGCCTTGCTTTGAACATAATTATAACAAAAGTGAATACTCACATTGTGGATAATTTGATGTATCCACGGTTACTTACCTTGGATGGGTTTTGAGGAAGGCTCCAATAAACCGTGTCATGAGCTGTCTTGTTCAGAGATTCATCTGCCCATTCTCTTGAAGGGAAACAATTACCATGTATAGCTCTTGCAGAACAGTAGGGAATTTTATAAAATAATGCTGTAAGTCTACTCCCAAATAGTATCAGTCACGTAGTAGGTGCTCAGTAAATACTTATAATTATTTCTTGGTTGTAAAGCGCAGTAAGGACAGTCTTGAACAAATCAATTCGTTATTGCATAGCTGATTTCAAGGAAGTAAGGGAAATACAAAAAAAAAGTTCCTTCATCTTCACTTATGCTCTCAGGCACTGCTAAACTTGCGCTAGAAAGTTGTTTCTCTTTGACATACAGCAAAAATTGACAAGAGATTCTTCCTCCCTTGCCTAACAATCCTATTATTCACTTACACAGTGGCTTGACAAGATCATTCACTGCCAATCACTGCATCTTCTACCCAATCCCAGACCTAATTGCATTTAAATTCTCTCTCTCTCTTTCATTCTCTCTCTCGTAAGCTAGAAATCCAGTTCTATTCTTTGCCCTTGCTACATTTTTTAATGATGAAACTTTTTTTATATCACTGACAGTAATTTAGTTGTTGATGTCCTCAGCCTATTATTAACCATCTCTACTGTGACCAGGAAAGACAAGCTTATTAAGTATAACTTTTAGTCTATAATTCCTTCCTTTAAACACTAAGATAATAGGAAACAAGGTCCATAATTCCTAACCAGAGATTTATTTTCTTTGTAGTTGAGATGCCATCTTAAAAAGACAATTAAAGCACACAACCCTCTCTGATAGAAGTTCCTCCGTTAGGCATAATCTAGTAGTATTTTTTTAGATGTCCTTTGATTTCATGCTGCCAATTTTCTCCAGTATACATGTAAGCTTTGGAACTGAGGTTCCATGCATTCTTTGTTGTTGAAAACTTTCTTCAAAATATATGATTATAACCTAATTTGTTATTGTGTAAGATGCCTTGTGATTATCCCACATTCCACGCTGGTGCATTTAAATGACTCATCTTATGTGTGCCCACATGCAGGCAATGGAATTCAGACATAAACAGGCTTTGATCCTGTGCTGCTGGAATTTGTTCAGTTCCACTTTCAATCCTCGTTCTACTTCTCTTGCTCTCTTTTCTGACTGATCAATCTCACAGTGATGGCAGTGGGCGCTCCAGATGGCCTGCCACTGCCATCACGCTGACAGCAGCAGGGAGGTGTGGCTGAGGCTGCATCCTCCATGGAGCCAGTGGAAATGGGACAAGTGGGAGCCCTGTCCCTTCTGAGTTGGGGAAGGAGCTCCCTGGGAGCGCTGCAGTCATTGAAACCACAGCTGCAGACCCAGGCCTCCTGCTCCACAGAGAAGGCAGGAGCCCCACCCTCCTTGGCAGGCTGGCAGCTGCCCAAGTTGTGGCTGCAGATCCGAGCCTCCCTGTGCTCTTTGGGGGCTGGGAACAGGCAGGAGCCCTGACCTCCCAGTCACAGCTGCAGCTGCCCAAACCATGGCTTCAGACCCGGGCCCCTCACTCCATGGAGCAGGCAGGAGCCCTACCCTGTGGCTCAGGGGCAGCAGCCCGAACCACTGCTGCAGAAGACTCAGGCATCTCTGCACTCTTGGGGACCTGGGAATGTCCCCCTGCCCTTGCAGGCTCAGAAATGCCTGCTCCCACTGCCTGGCATCTGCCTGCTGTTGGCACCCACTTCAACCTTGAAGCAAAGTCAGGGCTGAGCCCCAGTGCCACAAATGGCAGTGGGTGGCAGAGAGATTTCTGGGCAGAAGGGGGCAAGTCCCCAGTGAGGTACCATCTTCAGGCCAGGGAGCTCCTGATGGCTGGGGGCCAGGCTGCCAGTCCCGCAGACTGGAGTGGGAACTTGTGGTGGCTTTTCTGGGCTTCCCATGGCCACCCATGGACCATCCTGCATGTACTTCCTCCCCTCTGAGGCCCATAAAACTCCTAGGCTCAGCCAGATCTGAGCAGATGACAGGACCTGCCAGCTGCAAAGGGAACCTGTCTTCGCTGCTGAGAGCAGCAGATGTCAGGATGACCAGCAGCAGAGAGGAGCTACACACTCTAGGGCCTCCTCTCTGCTGAGAGCTTCAGAGGCCTGCAGAGATGTCAGGACTACCAGCTGCAGAGAGGATCAAATCACTCCAGGGCCTCCTCTCTGCTGAGAGCTGGGAAGATAATGGGATGATCTGCTTGAGGAGAGGAGCTTCCTATTCCAGGGTCTCCTCTCTGCTAGGAGCTGAACACTTGTTGAGACAACCTGAATGTGGAAAGGAGCTACACACTGCAGGTCGTGTGAGCTGTTCTATTGCTCAGTAAAGCTCCTCTTCATCTTGCTAACCCTCCACTTTTCTGTGTACCTCATTATTGGTGGTCACAGGACAAGAACTTGGGACCTGCTGAATGGTGGAGCTAAAAGAGCTGTAACACATGGGCTGAAACATGTCCCTTGCTTACCACCTTGTGGGCAAAGAGAAGGAGAGGATAGCTGCAGCCCCTCAGGGAGTACAGACCTGAGAGCTCCCCAAGCCAGATCTGTGACTTCCTCTTTGGGGTCCTGCAGTGACTGGTGTCTCCAAGCTTGAGGGCACTACTGTGTTCCCTGGTGCCAGCCGGGGAAGCTGCTTGTGGTGCACCCGGTACAGCCACAGCCTTGCAGAGACCTGGCACCCATGTTGAAACCTGGAGCTGTCCACCCACTGCAGAAGCTGGCATGTCTGAGCAGTGGCCAGACCCCACACTCGCTCACCAACCCCTCTCCACTCCAGGCCTGACTTGCCCTTGGCAGGAGTGGGATCCAGGCCAGTAGTGCGAGCTGAGTGCAACCTGTCAGGCCAAGTGGACAGAACAAGCCCAGGGGCCCAAGCAAAACTCGAGCAAAGGTGCCACCAGTCAGAGGTTTCAGGCCAGAGAAGTGATACCGCAAGAATCCCGTAACAACTGGACTCTATTGCTCTTCTTTTTTTTTTTTTTTTTTTTTTTTTTTTTTTTTTTTTTTTGCGACATTTGCTCTTATGAATCATTTGGTCAAATTTCTCTTGCTTATCATTTGACACTTTCACCCGGACCCATATTTAGTAGTCTCCTTCTGGCCCAAATTATCATAGCAATTGGTAAAATAGGCTTCTACTTTTTCAATTTCTTTGGTTTATAATCTAGCTTGACTTTCTAGGATATGTCGAAGAGAGAAAATCCTCTAATCACAAGTTTTATCTTGGCCTTGCAAGCTAGAATGACCAGTACTTCTTAGCATGGAGGGGATTTTTTTTTTTTTTTTTTTTTTTTGAGGCAGGGTCTCACTCTGTCACCCAGGCTGGAATGCAGTGGGGCAATCTTGGCTCATTGCAACCTCGGCCTCCCAGGTTCAAGCAATCCTCCCACCTCAGCCTCCTGAGTATACTGGGACTACATGAGCACACCACCATGCCTAGCTAATTTTCGTATTTTTTTTAGATATGGGGTTTCACCACATTGCTCAGACTGGTCTTGAACTCCTGAACTCAAGCAATCCACCCACCTTGGCCTCCCAAAGTGCTAGGATTATAAGAGTGAGCCACTGCCCCTAGCCAGGAGGGGAATTTAATATAGCAGTGCTCTTTTCCATCAATCTTGTTAATGAGTTGTACACATTATAAAAATATAAGGACACTCACAAGGCATTTTAACTTTTGGATGCAATTGTCACCACAATTCTAATATACTGCCTCTGTCTCTGTTTATATCAGTACATTTGTTCACCAAACATTGACTAATAGTCCATAATATTTCAGGCACTTTCCTAATGCTTGGGATGGAGCTCTCTCGATAAACTTAATTTTGACCAAACATTGTATTCTATAGGACGCTAAAAGTGTTATGTGAAAACAAATAAAATAAAAAGAGGCTTCATGGTTACATGGACTTGGAAAAAGGCAGGTTAAACAGAGGCAATTAATTTTCTTGTGTACAGAATACCCTAAGGTCTTTAAACCACTATCCCTTCAAGTCTTATCATGAATGTCCAAGAAGTATTGAAGTAGAGTTAAAAAAAGAACTGTGTCTCAAATATTTGTTGGACAACAAACCTTTTTCTGCTGATTGTTTCATTGGGCTAGTGTTCCTCAGAATATACCTTGGGAAATGCTAGTTCTGTCTAGACAGGAACATATGATGGTTAAGTTGGTGTCATTATGGCTTGTTGCTTCTTTTTGTCCTGGAAATACTTTTTTCCTTGAAATCTGTCCGATACAAACATAGCCATTACGACCTTAATTGGGTTGCTATTTGTATGGCATATATGTTTACATCCAATTTATTTTTTTATTTTTTTATTTTTTTTTATTATACTTTAAGTTTTAGGGTACATGTGCACATTGTGCAGGTTAGTTACATATGTATACATGCGCCATGCTGGTACGCTGCACCCACTAACTCGTCATCTAGCATTAGGTATATCTCCCAGTGCTATCCCTCCCCCCTCCCCCCACCCCACCACAGTCCCCAGAGTGTGATATTCCCCTTCCTGTGTCCATGTGATCTCATTGTTCAATTCCCACCTATGAGTGAGAATATGCGGTGTTTGGTTTTTTGTTTTTGCGATAGTTTACTGAGAATGATGATTTCCAATTTCATCCATGTCCCTACAAAGGACATGAACTCATCATTTTTTATGGCTGCATAGTATTCCATGGTGTATATGTGCCACATTTTCTTAATCCAGTCTATCATTGTTGGACATTTGGGTTGGTTCCAAGTCTTTGCTACTGTGAATAATGCCGCAATAAACATACGTGTGCATGTGTCTTTATAGCAGCATGATTTATAGTCCTTTGGGTATATACCCAGTAATGGGATGGCTGGGTCAAATGGTATTTCTAGTTCTAGATCCCTGAGGAATCGCCACACTGACTTCCACAATGGTTGAACTAGTTTACAGTCCCACCAACAGTGTAAAAGTGTTCCTATTTCTCCACATCCTCTCCAGCACCTGTTGTTTCCTGACTTTTTAATGATTGCCATTCTAACTGGTGTGAGATGGTATCTCATTGTGGTTTTGATTTGCATTTCTCTGATGGCCAGTGATGATGAGCATTTTTTCATGTGTTTTTTGGCTGCATAAATGTCTTCTTTTGAGAAGTGTCTGTTCATGTCCTTCGCCCACTTTTTGATGGGGTTGTTTGTTTGTTTTTTTCTTGTAAATTTGTTTGAGTTCATTGTAGATTCTGGATATTAGCCCATTGTCAGATGAGTAGGTTGCGAAAATTTTCTCCCATTTTGTAGGTTGCCTGTTCACTCTGATGGTAGTTTCTTTTGCTGTGCAGAAGCTCTTTAGTTGAATTAGATCCCATTTGTCAATTTTGGCTTTTGTTGCCATTGCTTTTGGTGTTTTGGACATGAAGTCCTTGCCCATGCCTGTGTCCTGAATGGTAATGCCTAGGTTTTCTTCTAGGGTTTTTATGGTTTTAGGTCTAACGTTTAAATCTTTAATCCATCTTGAATTGATTTTTGTATAAGGTGTAAGGAAGGGATCCAGTTTCAGCTTTCTACATATGGCTAGCCAGTTTTCCCAGCACCATTTATTAAATGGGGAATCCTTTCCCCATTGCTTGTTTTTCTCAGGTTTGTCAAAGATCAGATAGTTGTAGATATGCGGCGTTATTTCTGAGGGCTCTGTTCTGTTCCATTGATCTATATCTCTGTTTTGGTACCAGTACCATGCTGTTTTGGTTACTGTAGCCTTGTAGTATAGTTTGAAGTCAGGTAGTGTGAAGCCTCCAGCTTTGTTCTTTTGGCTTAGGATTGACTTGGCGATGCGGGCTCTTTTTTGGTTCCATATGAACTTTAAAGTAGTTTTTTCCAATTCTGTGAAGAAAGTCATTGGTAGCTTGATGGGGATGGCATTGAATCTGTAAATTACCTTGGGCAGTATGGCCATTTTCACAATATTGATTCTTCCTACCCATGAGCATGGAATGTTCTTCCATTTGTTTGTATCCTCTTTTATTTCCTTGAGCAGTGGTTTGTAGTTGTCCTTGAAGAGGTCCTTCACATGCCTTGTAAGTTGGATTCCTAGGTATTTTATTTTTATTCTCTTTGAAGCAATTGTGAATGGGAGTTCACTCATGATTTGGCTCTCTGTTTGTCTGTTGTTGGTGTATAAGAATGCTTGTGATTTTTGTACATTGATTTTGTATCCTGAGACTTTGCTGAAGTTGCTTATCAGCTTAAGGAGATTTTGGGCTGAGACAATGGGGTTTTCTAGATATACAATCATGTCATCTGCAAACAGGGACAATTTGACTTCCTCTTTTCCTAATTGAATACCCTTTTGTTTCCTTCTCCTGCCTAATTGCCCTGGACAGAACTTCCAACACTATGTTGAATAGGAGTGGTGAGAGAGGGCATCAATGTCTTGTACCAGTTTTCAAAGGGAATGCTTCCAGTTTTTGCCCATTCAGTATGATATTGGCTGTGGGTTTGTCATAGATAGCTCTTATTATTTTGAAATACGTCCCATCAATACCTAATTTTTTGAGAGTTTTTAGCATGAAGGGTTGTTGAATTTTGTCAAAGGCTTTTTCTGCATCTATTGAGATAATCATGTAGTTTTTGTCTTTGGCTCTGTTTATATGCTGGATTACATTTATTGATTTGCGTATATTGAACCAGCCTTGCATCCCAGGGATGAAGCCCACTTGATCATGGTGGATAAGCTTTTTGATGTGCTGCTGGATTCGTTTTGCCAGTATTTTATTGAGGATTTTTGCATCAGTGTTCATCAAGGATATTGGTCTAAAATTCTCTTTTTTGGTTGTGTCTCTGCCCGGCTTTGGTATCAGAATGATGCTGGCCTCATAAAATGAGTTAGGGAGGATTCCCTCTCTTTCTACTGATTGGAATAGTTTCAGAAGGAATGGTACCAGTTCCTCCTTGTACCTCTGGTAGAATTCAGCTGTGAATCCATCTGGTCCTTTACATCCAATTTTTCAACTTTCCCATAACTTTCTATTTAAAGTATGTCCCTTGTAGACAGATTAAAGGTGCTTTCTACTATTTGAATAATTCTGAAAATCTCTGTCTTTAAATTTATGGGAGTATTCCATTAAAATGTAATATGCTTATTGTTGTGTTGTGTTGGATATACATTATTATTTTTTATTTTCTGTTTGTCCCTCTGCTTTCAAGTCCTCTATGATCTATATTGACATAACTACCTCTCTCTTTGTTTTGTTCATTGTTGGTATTTGATAAAGATTTGTTGAATTGATTAACAAACTGTTGCTTCCTTTGTGGCACCAGCAGGAGTACCAATAATGAAGAGAGGTGTTTCCTAGCTTTGCCAATGTAGTAGTTAGGCCTTCCTTAAATATTAATAGTCTAGAAAAAAAGGAGCAATTTGAAATCAAAATTGACCCAAAAACTCTGCCCCACTCAGAACTCTGAGAGAATTTTGCATATCTAAGAAAACTTAGCATGATGTTGCCCATGGATAAAACAATCTATCTTCTTATTTGTATGAATGATAATTCCTGTTCTCATACTTTATGAACATAAGAAGTAAACAACTTGAAACTACAAAATGTATGTGTAATTTACCCCTCGTAAGACATTACAATTTGATATTTATCTCTTAGTGTCATTAAAAAAAGCATAAGAAAATCTTAAGTCTTAAACTGTATATTGTCATTTTTTAACCATTGTCTCTGTAGGCATAAGAATTACATTGAGTACATAATGATCAATTGAACTGGTCAAATTGAATATTTTAAATTGATCTGCCTGTGTATCTGGTCAAATTGAAAATATTATCAAGCTGTTCTCAGGATACATTTGGCAATACCTACAGGTAGGTTACAAAGAAGATTCTCTGAGTCATTTTATTCTTCTTGACTCCAATTTTTTCATGCACAGCATGGGGATGAGTACAGTTATTGAATTAACCACGACTCATCCACTGGAGAAATTCTAATAATGACTACAAAATAATATTCTCATTGGAAGAAAAGGAAATGTATCCTCTAAGTTTTCATCAACAGCTGCTACTAAATGGCTATTTCTGCTTCACATTTCATATAAATCAAAGATCCACAGTCATGTCAAAGATGCAAAATATGCTACTCTGATTTGAATTATGCTTAATACAACACAAAGTTTTTTGATATGAATTTAATACTAAAGTTGTTTTTTTGTGGACTTTTAGTTAAACCTATTGCTATGATCTTTTAGCCTGGAAAAGAGAGAGTATGTAGCTAGAGAACTTGCTGAAAAAATCCACAAATAAATTGAGCCTAAACCGTCAACTAAAAAAAAATGACAGTTGGTAAACACTGTAATTTAAAATATATTGCACATTTGTGGTATGCATTAATCATCTACTAGAGTGATACTACAGTGATAATGCTACTACCTTTTGAAAATAAAGCAGATATATTGTCAAGAGACCTTAGAGATAATCTGAAGAAAATATTTAAAAAAAGAAATGTTTCTGAAGGTTGTTGGACAGAGCCACTAAGAAAAATAAATTTGTTTTACACATTTCTAGTTATTATTTCAAATTTTATCTCATTTTTATGTGTCTTCTATGTGTTCTTCTTTCTAGCTTTATTGGGGTATGATTGAAATTGTAAAGGCATACCTTTGAGACATATTGTGGGTTCAGTTCCAGACCACAATAATAACACAAATATCACAATAAAGTGAGTAAAATGCTTTTTTCCCCAGTGAATATGAAAGCTATGTTTATACCATAGTAGTCTATTAAGTGTGCAACATTATGTCTAAAAAATGTACATATCTAATTAAAAATACGTTATCACCAAAAAGTGCTACCACTCATCTGAGCCTTCAGCAAGTCATAGTCTTTTTGCTGGTGGCGAATCTTGCCTCCATGTTGGTGGCTGCTGGCTGATTATGGTGGTGGCTGCTGAAGTTTGGGGTGGCTGTGGCAATTTCTTACAATAAGATAAGAGTGAAGTTTGTTGCATCCATTGCTTCTTCTTTTCACAAAAGATTTTTCTGTAGCATGCTATGCTGTTTGATAGCATCTTACACAGAGTGGAAATTCTGTTAGAATTAAAATCAATCCTCTCAAACCCTACCACCTCTTTATTAACTAAGTTTATGTAACACTCTAAATCCTTTGTTGTCGTTTCAACAATGTTCACAGTATCTTAACCAGAAATATATCCCATCTCAACAAACCACTTTCTTTGCTCATCTATAAGCAGCAAGTTCTCATCCATTGAAGTTTCA